>NC_000006.12:15817575-15969090 GCF_000001405.40 Homo sapiens | reverse complement strand
TTAACATACCACTGTAGTCCATTTGCTACACTCCATGAACCGATATTGGTGCATTCATATTAACTAAAGTCCATACTTTATTCAGATTTCCTTAGTTTACAGTTAATGTCTATTTCTGTTCCAGGGTCCTCTCCAGAATGCCACGTTACGTTTAGTCATCATGTCTCCTTAGGCTCTTCATGGCTATGGCACCTTCTGTGACCCTTCTTGTTTTTGATGGCCTTGATGGTTTTGAGGAGTGCTAGGTATTTTGTAGGCCATCCCTCAGTTGGGACATGTCTGATCTTTCTCCTCATGGTTATATGTGGTTGTGAATTTTGGGGAGGAAGATCACAGAGGTGAAGTGTCATTTTCATTGCATCATATCAAGGCTACGCACTATCGACATAACTTATCACTGTTGACCTTGATCTTGATCTCCTGGCTGAGGGGATGTTTGTCACGTTTCTCTGCTGCAAAATGACTCTTTTTTTTCCCCTTTCCACACTTTGGAAGGAAATTATATGCATAGCTTCTACTTAAGGAGTGAGGAGTGAAGTTCCCTGGTCTTGAGGGAAGAGTATCTACATCAATTAAAGAATGATACATAGTTGTGTTTGTAGCCACCAACAAAATGCACAGAACCTTTTCCCAATCCAGCCAGGCCCCATCGTTGAGGTTGGGCTTTTCAATATTCTCACTCCTCTGACAACTAGAACCTGACCGCCTCTGACTCAGACCTGCTGCTGTGGGTCCCATTTTTTCTGCCATCTTCCTTCTGCAGCCCCAGCATTCTTACCACAGGGCAAGGTGGAGAATCTGGGATTCAGAACCCAAAAATGAAAACACCATAGAAAATGGTGGGAGGCGCCATGTCACGGATTGAATTATGTCCTTACCAAAATTTATGTGTTGAAGTTTTTAACTCCCAGTACCTCCGAATGTGATCTTATTTGGAAGTAGGGTTGTTGAAGACGTAATTAGTTAAGATGAGGTCATACTAGAGTAGGATGGGACCTCATTCCAATATAACAGTGTCCTTATAAAAGGGGAAATTTGGCCACAGAGACACGCGCATAGGGAGAATGCCGTGGGAACATGAAGACAGAGCTCAGCATGATGCATCTACAAGCTAAGGAATGCTAAAGACAGCTAGCAAACCACCAAAGCAGGGAAGAGGCCTGGACAGACCCTTCCCTGGAGTCTTCAGAGGGAGCATGGCCTGGGCCACCTTGATTTTGGACTCTGGCCTCCAGAGCTGTGAGAGAATGAATTTCTCTTGTCTTTATTTTGGCCTTAATAATAATATAGCCATAGGAAACTAATACGGACTCCAAAGACCTTCCTCCCCATTACAAAGGGATATAAAACCTTTTTTGTTTGTTTGTTTTTTGAGATAGAGTCTTGCCCTTTCACCCAGGATGGAGTGCAGTGGCACAATCTCAGTTCACTGCAACCTCCGCCTCCTGGGTTCAAGTGATTTTCGTGCCTCAGCCTCCTGAGTAGCTGGGATTATAGGCGCACTCTACCACACCTGGCTTTTTTGTTTTTTTGCTTGTTTGTTTGTTTTGTTTTGTTTTTAAGTAGAGACAGGGTTTCACCATGTTGGCCAGGCGGGTCTTCAACTCCTGACATCAAGTGATCTGCCCACCTCGGCCTCCCAAAGTGCTGGGATTACAGGTGTGAGCCACTGTGCCCAGCCTCAAAGGGATAGAAAACCTTTTTAAAAGCCCATTTAGTTGATTCAGGGCCAAAGTAAATTCCTGAACACTTGTCCATTACCTTATTCAACAGATGTCTACTGAGAGCTGGCGCTGTGCTCAGAACCCATGAGAACCCTGATGAGCTGTAGACCCTTAAAGGCTCAGCCATTAGTCTGGGGACGGAGACACTGCAGAGACAGGGTGGCATTTTATTTTACTTCCTGTAGCTCTTACATTTCAGATTCTGTACCTAATAAGTGCAGTTAGTGTATTTCTCACTTACATAGGATCAAGCAGAAGGATCTTTTAGATCAGTGTCCCCAGAAAACAGACCTCGAGACTGAGATTTGTGTGAGGGAGTGAGTGCGCACTGAGGAGTGACTGTTCTTAGGAAAAAGACCTGCAGGAAAGCAAGGGAAGGAGAATTGGGCAGAAATCAAACTGTGATGTAGCTGCAATAAAGATCTCAGCCCATCCTGTGGGGAGCTCTGGAGGAGGGATGACCCTTGAGAGAGGTCTTACTTGAGGCAAGGGGACTGGGCCTTTATACTCCTGCATTGGCTAGTCATTAAATGGAGAAAGTGCCCAGCAAAGGACATAACTTTGGGCCAGGCAGCCTGCTTCAGGCAAAGCTTAAGGAGAGACTTGCCCATGAGCTCTCAGCAGCCAACACTCCCAACAGCTGGAATAGTAAGTGCTTCAGTCCTGAGCAGAATTCTGGATAATGCACCACAGCGTTCATGTCATTGGTTTTCTGGATGCAAAAATAAACATTTATTGGCCAATATTTATTAAGCACCTAGTGGAATTAGCAGACTAAAGGTAACTAAATCGGCTCCCTGAACTGTCTTGCTGGCAGGCCATAAACACAGAGACAGGGAATGCTTAGGTTGGAAAAATCAGAATGGGCAATGTCAGTTAACCCTAAGAAAGGTGGCGCAGAATCAAACAGGCCAGGAACAAGCACCGGGTACGTTAACTCCTAGATTTCACAGAAGCAAGTTGATGTGTTCTGTCTTTTTTCAGGGAAACTGGCCCTGAGCACAGCTGTGAAACAGACATTGTTGGGAAAACTCTTCTTTCTTCTGGCACCCACCCAAGCACCTGATCCTTTGCAAACTGTGCTGTGCTGCTCGGTTAGCCTGGGTTCCTCCTGAAGGCAACAGCCCAGAGCCTTAGCAGAACTGTGGTTGGCTTGCAGGAGCTTCTCCCACATGGAATGAACCCCAGGCCTGAAAAATTACCCATACAGAGCTGCCGGTGGCTCCTGCCTCTAACTTATAGCCATCAAGGAAGACAGTGCCTGCTTTCTAATTCCATGGAAATCCATAACCCCTACACCAGGGCCAGCCTCTCCTTGCTGTCTGTAGGAGCTTCCTAGAGGTGCCATAGCAAATTACCCCAAACCAGATGGCTTCAAACAACAGCAATGTACTCTCTCACAACCCTGGAGGCCATAAGTCCAAAATCAAGGTGACAGGAGGGGCCATGATCTCTTCAAAGGCTCTAGGGGAGAATCTTTTCCATGCTTTTCTCTTAGCTGCTGGCTTTGTTGGCAGTCCTTGGCATTCCTTGGCTTGTGAACGTGGCACTCCGATGCCTGTGTTCATTGTCGCAAGGCATTCTCCCTGTGTCCATGTCTTTTCTCCTTTTCGAAAGACAATGATTATATTAATTAAGACCCACCCTACTTCAGAATGACCTTGTCTTAACTTGGTGATATCTGCAAAGATCCTATTTCCAAATTAGGTCACATTCACAAGTACTAGGGATTAGGACTTCAACATATCTTTTGGGGGGACACACTTTAACTCATACATTATCTAAGGCTACACTGCCTACTCTAATTCACTAACATGTACTAGTAGAAGAAATCTTGACAATTTCTTCAGAGCTTCTCAGCATAATGTCTTCATTCTTACACTTTAGCAAAAAATCGAAATCCTGTGGCTCAACTTCTGAGATCTGTTGTATAAATAGTATCTTGCGTGGTGCCCAATAAATAAACACCTTTCTTTCTCCTGCTGCAAAACTTGGTGTGTATATCTGGTCTTACCGCACCGGGCAAACAGACCCTAGTTTAGTCTGGGATATTGGGAATAATCTTATTGCAGGTAATAGGACCAAGATAAGCCAAGGTGAAACAAAAGGAAAGGTATTTTGAGATATCTGGGGTCTCAGTGGAGTCTCTCCAATAAAAGGTACCAGCTTCAGCTATTCTTGGGCAAATTCCATGTATTAATTTTACTGGTTGAACAGATTATATCACTAATTAGACCAAGACTTGATCTTGATTCAGAACTACCATTCCTAGACTACAAGCCTAACCCTCACTGGCCTTGTCACAAAGAGGAAACTGCTCAAAGACGCCAGTGCAAAACCCATCCCGGCCACTGAATCAACCAAGCCAAGGATCTTCTGATGAGATTAGGTCACAGAAGCCTCCATATTGATGAAGGATCCCATCCTATCCTCAGCAGTCTAACTTTAAGACTGTCACATTTTTAGGTTTTTAAATAGAAATGATGATGAGCTACTCCAGCCAACCATGCCTTAATATGAACCACTGTGAAACTGACACTAGAGGTTGATGAGAGGTGCTGTAGATTTCAGAAAAAATGAAAACGTGAAACAGAGCGGGGACTCACCTCTTAGGGACCTGTGCCCACCCTCCAAGCATAGAAATGAAGGAAAATCTTGAGTTTCTTCAAGTGAAATTCTAGGTACCTAGCTAGCCCAGAAAAGTAAATAAGCGACTTGATAAGCAAGAAGGTAATTGTAGCCTAAAACGATAGCCATGGAAGCTAGAATCATGGGATGTTTGGTTCCCCTACAGAAATTAAGATAATATCTTAACACATGTTTCCAGAGTTGCTTTTCAGAAACTTGACCCCCACCAGAGGGATCTGCCCACCATAGACCTCAGATAAGGGGGACCTAGGGACTGAACTTTGAGCCCCATTCTTTGTTCTAAATTTCTTCCTGAGGGGCCTGGAGAAAGTCACACCCACGAGCTAGAATCAACATTCTTTTCTGCTGACCCTAAATTTTTAAATAAAGCTTTTGCAAATCAGAAAATCCTTGAATCTACCTATGACTTATAGCCACTCCCCAAAATATCCCACCCCTTTAGTACAAAACCAAGGAATAAGTGCCATGTATTGATTTATAATTGTGCCTGTAACTTCTGCTTTCCTGAAATGTGCCCCTAACCTACAAGCCATCAGGGAGGTCAGGATTTAAGCATTGGCTGCATAGTCCTCCTTGCTTGGTGCCCGATAAATAAACACCTTTCTTTCTCCTGATGCAAAACTTGGTGTGGATATCTGGTCTTACCGCACTTGGCAAACAGACCCTAGTTTAGTTCTAAAACAAAAAAAAAAGGGACTCACATTTATATTTTATAGATGAAAGACTGAGGAAGAGAAAATAATCAGTTGTTTTTAAATTTGATTTCACATGTAATTTCAGACCCGCTTAACTGCTGCCTGAAACGTATTCAAAGAGATGAAAGTACAGAAGAGTTCTAGCCTAAAGCCCAACAGCAACCGTGGAGAGTCCAGGAACCAACTCATCAGCCCTGTCAGAGCTCATCAAAGATGAGATGTCTTCCAATTGTGGTGAGGTTCATGATTGTCTTGAAAACCAAAACACAGCCGAAAACAAAGACCACAGAGAAAAGTATGGCAGCTGAGCAAGCTGTGAACTGTTCCTGTTCAGAAACCTCCTGCAGGTTAACCAGAGTTGGAGCCTAATTCCATCACTTATAAAAGTGGAGCTGCTTCAGACCTTTCCGAGGAGCAGGAAGTGTAATGGCCAGGTCAAAAATCCCAGTTCTAAAACTGCCCAGACCTTGGGCAAAGAAATTACTTAATATCTCAGAACCTAGTTCTCTCATCTATAAGATGAAATTATTAATGTAACAATATGTATTCTTATAGGATTGCTGTAAGAATTAAATAGTGGTACAATATGCTAAATGTTTGCTATTATGTATATACCATGTGCTAGATATGCAGTTGCTGTTCCCGCCATGTACAAGATAAAGCACCTCTGAATTAGAGATGTTTGTATCTGTTGCATCTTTAATCCATCTCATAGACATGTCTACCACCTGGACACACACTTGCCTTGTCCAGTACAATTAACTCAAGCACTGTGGATCAAGACTGTTGCATGGTATTAGGTTAAATCTAGAAGTAAATGGAGGCTTATCACCAATGGGTGTCGGAATTCTCATATTCCTCAGGTTAAGAATAAAAATGTAGCACAGCTCCAGAAGACTTAACCTCATTCCAGATATGAATCCATGCCATGTGACAAGGTCAGAGCAATACGGTTTCACATAGGTAAATATAAATACCAATTAAAACAAGTAAATAAAGAAAGAGGAGAAAATACCCTTTGTTCTTATTGTTTTCCGTTTTGTGTTTTAGTTCAAAAATTTTCGAGGGTCTTCTGACTCTGGTGACTTAGGGTAGAAGGGACAATTCAGAGAGCTCCAAGAGGACATAGAAGAGCCTTGTCCCCTTGGGAGGCAATGGCTACCAAAATACTTAGTAACTAACTCGGTGCTTTTAGGGGGAAATTTGGGATTATGTCTGAAGAAAGCAGCAGAGGAGATCTACATTAAATAGGATGCTGGCGCTGAAATTTGGAGACTCTCCTTCAGTTCTTAAGGTTTAGAATTACCCAATAGGGCTTTCCTTCTCTCCTAACTAAAAAGACTCATTTCACAGCCTGATTTTTGAAATTCTTTCACATTTAATCACCTAGGAGTCAGGGCCTCTACAGCAGATCAGAACATTTGCAGGATGTTAATGACCATTTCCTGTTCATTTTTTGACTCTGCAGTGAAGGCTTTTGTTTCTGTAGCTTTTCCTGCCGTTGGCAGCCCTTACACACACACATACACACACACACACACACACACACACACACACTCACTCTCTCTCTCTCTTTCTCAGGGGTTAAAGTCAGCCTCTACTCTTTGTTGAGGGAAAGAATACATCTCTCTCTCTCTCTCTCTCTCTGTCATTCTCTTTTTAGAGGTTTTGGCCAATTCTGCTCTTCACCTCCATACTCCCTACAGACTGCTCCAAGCCACCCCCAGGAGATGCAGTGTTTGTGAAGTCAAACTACTGGGTAGGCCCGCCTTACCAGGGCAAATTATATCCTGTAGACACACACATGTTTGCATACACATACACAGTTTTGTCCAAATTATTTTTTTTAATTGCATAAAGGGCAGTCTCAAAGGGAAAAATGATCACAGAAGGGCAGCAGGTAGCCAGAAGGGTATGTCTGTCCTGTTACATGGCCTTGGTGGTGTGGTGCCCCACTGTTGAGAAGGAAGGGGAATTCCTACATTAGACTTACTTTTGACTCTAAAGCAAGAGAAGTGTGAATGTATAAGCCTTGAGACAATGAGCCCACACCCTCTTAGATTTTAGCACAGACAAAAGAAGGGAAACAATGAATTTCATTCAGAACAACAATGGATCTGATCCAATAGCTTGAGAAGGGGACATTTCAGAAGAGCAGGAGCTCATGGGACCTACCAAGGACAGACAGGACACTTTAGCTCTCATCAGAGTCACAGGGAGCAAGAGGGGAGTAGCCCACTGCTGGGTGCATACAGCACAACGCTAGCGAATAATGGAGAGAAAGCAGGATTACTCTATCTATTCACTTTCTATTTTCTCTACCAAGGGAAATAAACTTAAAGTAGAAAGGATAAGATGAACATTATTAAGAAAAAATAGGTCACAAGATAGTAGGAGGATTTCAGCCTTAAAGACTTCAAATTGACAGCTTTGTGGGGCCTTTTAGCTCAGCTGGAACTACATTTCCCAGAATCCCCTACCCTGCATGGTTCCCGGCAAGGGCCCAGCAAAGATACATTTGCACCACAGTTGGAAGCCAAAAGGGAAGTGGCAGCCTTGTTCTTTCCCCGCTCTGAAGGTGGGAGGAGGATCACCAGGGCATCTGAGGCATGCCGCTAGTCTGCTGGCTCATGTTGTGGGCCTGCAGAAGCAGCCAGATGATCCACTCCTTCAGCTCTCAGACCCAGGCAGCACATGTTTAGGTCCTTGAGCCAAAGGGGCCAGACTTGGAGACAACACAAGGCAGAAGATGGCTCCAGTCTGTCCTCACTTCCCTGCTCTGCATCTGCCTTGCCACCCTGACCCGCTGCCCTGCAGAATTCAGACTCCAACACCAGATGTAAGACAAGCGTCCGCAAGTGCCTGAAGTCAAATCCCTAGAATGAATTCTTGATTCCACCTAGTATTTGTGTTTCAGTTTGAATCCCAATGGATATAGATTATAACCCAAGGAACTAGAGAAGTTGCAATTGTAATGATGAACTTCTTTTGATTTTATTTCAGAAATCAGCTCAGCACAGAAGAGATGAGCGTGTGTACTACTTTCCAAAAGAGGAAGTGGATTCAGAAAACTACTTATTTTGATGGGTCAGTGAGAAAACAACAAAAACAACAACTCTGTAAACTACTTAGAGGTTTATTCTGAGTGAATATGAGTGACCATGGCATGGAGAACAGTATCAACAGGTTCTGAGAAAGTATGCCTGAAGTGGTCAGGTTACAGTTTGGTTTTTATGTTTTAGGGATACAGGAACTGTAAGTAAAATCATAAATAAGTGCATTAAAAATGTACATTGGTTCAGCCTAAAGAGCCTGGATGTTTTGAAGGTGAAGTGAGGCTGACAGGTTGTAAGTGGATTCAAAGATTTTCTGATTGTCACTTGGTTAAGAGTTAAGCTTTGTAAAGCCTTGAAGTCAGTAAAAAAGAATGCTTGAGTTCTAAGGGTAGCTGTGGAGACCAAGGTTCTTGTTACGTAGGTGAAGCCTCCGGGTAACTGCTTTCAGAGAGAATAGGTGGTAAATGTCTCCTTTTGGACCCTTAAAGGGGTCAGAGTCTTAATCTCCTCTAGACCTGGGAAAGGCTGAACCGTATTAAGCGAGATTCTCTGCAGTTCTCTGCAGTTCCCCCCAAAAGATGGCTTCACAGTGCCATTTCAAAATATGTCAAAGAAATATATTTGGTAGTAAAATATTTTTATTTCCTTCAGTCTGCCATGTGATGCTACACCAGAGTCAGGCTGGAATTTGGAATTTTATTGCCACGAAGAGTCTGTTGTGTCAGTCTTATGATGTCTGTTTTAATGTTAATGCTGGTCAGTGCTGCCTGAACTCCTAAAGGGAGGGAGTACGATGAGGTGTGTCCAACCTCCTTTTCCATCATGGCCAGGAATTTGGTTTTCAGACTTCTCTGGGATCCCCTTGGCCCATAGGGGGATTCATAATTGGTTAGGGGGCTTAGGATTTTATTTTTGTTTTACAGATTTTAGTCCCCCCAAATTCTCAAATAGAATTTAAACCTATGGATTATGAACAATCAAAGGAAAAAATGAACATGGTGATAACTAGACACAAACATGGATTTATTACAGATAAATTTTGTCTAACTCATTTGATTTGGGGTAAGAGTGTTAAGTTAGTATATCAGAAGAATTAGATAGTTATTACTATAACCATAATACTCACAAGGAATTTAACAAAAATTTTCTCACATTCTTCTTAAATATAGACTAGATTCTAGTTAAGTAAAATGTACAGCATGGGCTGGGCATGGTGGCTCATGCCTGTAATCCCAGCACTTTGGGAAGCCAAGGCAGGTGGATCACAAGGTCAGGAGTTCAAGACCAGCCTGGCCAACATGGTGAAACCCCATCTCTACTAAAAATACAAAAATTAGCCGGGCGTGGTGGCACACGCCTGTAGTCCCAGCTATTGAGGAGGCTGAGGCAGGAGAATTGCTTGAACCTGGGAGGCAGAGGTGGCAGTGAGCCAAGATCACACCACTGCACTCCAGTCTGGGTGACAGAATCTCAATGTTTTCAAGTCTTCCTAAAAGGAAGGGGTCCCATTAAAACCACCTTTGCAAAAATTATAACAGTGAGAAAATTATGGCAGTCGGGGAGATCTGACCTAGCCAACCCCATCTTGCCTTTTGCCTTCAAGCTGCCCTTAGTTATTCCTGGGCTTAGACCAAACTAACTTTGGGGGACATTTAGTTTACAGTTTAAATGATAATAGCCCTTCCCCCAAATTCAACTGCCTTTGTAAAGCTAATGAGAGACCACCAGTGTAGGAGGATAGAGGAGCCTGAATTCTGCTAAGGTGTAGACATGAATGAATGCCAGCCATTATTCTGGAGGTCACAGGCTATGCAACTTCCCATATTACTCCTGCAGATAACATCACTATTGTAGAACCTAAGATTGGCCCTTTAAGATATCTTTTCAGGTTTTTTGCAGGTCTGACAATCGTTGGCTCCACCTGGACCCACTAACCACTCCTGTGGCCCCACCAGAATGACTGAGTGCATAGGAGGACCATTTCCCACACCCCTGTGATTGCACCCCCAAACAATCAGAGCAAGCACCCATTGCCTAGCCATCCCCACCCCTTAGCCCAAACTACCTTTGAAAAATCCTGGCCCCTAAATTTTCAGAGAGATTGATTTGAGTAATAACTCTGTCTCCCATGTGGTGTGGCCAGCTTCATATCTATTAAACACTTTCTTTATTGCAATGCCATGGTCTGATTTTATCTGTACACTAGGCAGGAAGAATCCATTGAGTAGTTACACACTTTGCCTCTATCCTTCTCCTTCCTATTGGTTAGATTAGGGATGTAATGGCTGGAGCTCCAGCAGCTATCTTAACCCATTGGGTGGTCTTAAGATCATGTTATGAAGCCGAAAGAAAGTAAACCCTTGGGTCCTTAGTACCTGTCACAGTTGCTATACTAGCTGTGTACTGCTGGTTTGCAGGTTTACTTTAAGTGAGAAAGAACTAAACTCTTATCTTATTTATTTATTTATTTTCTGTTACATGCAGCTGAACTTAACCCTAAATGATACTGAATGTAAACGATGCTATTGTGTCAAAAAGTATGTCTCAGACTAGAGGAGGATTTCCAATGGCTTTGTATTTGGCCAATATTTTTATTAGTTCACTTAATAAACACATGAAAGATCTTGCTATATTTTCAGAGGAAAACTCTTGGAGGCTCAATTATATTTTAAATAATAGATAAGTATTAAAAAGAGATCACAAGAGAGGGGAACCATGGGTCAAAACTAAAAAGATAAAATTTCATAAGGATAAATATGAAGTCTGGCTTAGGGCTAAAAAATGACTACAGCTTGTTTGCAAGTTGAGAGAACCTACCTGAGAACTCTTAATATTCAAAATAAGCAATATAAATACAGAGTTCCACTATCCTTGTGCTAGTATTATGTTAACACAGTCCTGGATATTACATTTTCTAAAAGGTCATTGTTGGCTTAGAGTGATAACTTGAATGCACATGTTTATCTCTTCTCCCCCATGGACCTTGGTGTATCAAGCAGAGCTGTGTATACATATTTTTTTTTGTCCTTTTTAATGGTATACGCTGGTGTTTTCTAATCTTTTGTCAATTGGGACACACCTATTGCTGAGTTCCAGTCATCCATTTACTCATAAATTCATTCATTCACTTAACACTTGTTGAGCACCTATTTTGTGTTCTGCCTTGAGACTGTATTGATATATTAGCACATGGCCACATAGGGCATCAAGGATGAATAACAACAGTATTTATGAAGGAAGACTCTTCCTTTCCCTCTAATCACGCCTTTAACAACCCTAATCCTGGAGGCATCAGAAATAGTGGAGAGGAGATAGAGGCACAGGGAAGTAACAAACTACATTCCACTTCTTTGCTGCTGGTGCCTGGTCTGAAGGTCCAGTCTGAGCTGCAGGGGAGAGAGAAGCATTGTGTCAAGTGTAAGACTAAAACTTAAATCTCATACTAAAACAGGCATTTGAATGCCTAAAAGATTTTGGCTGATATGCTGGAAAAAAGAAAAAAACAAAAAACAAAAACCGTCTGCTGAGTTTAAAGATAGTAATGAGGAAAAAAACAACCCAAAGCTGTTTTCTGGTTGTGCCCTGTATGTTCAGCCTATTCAATGAACCTTGACTATATACAGAATAGGAGGAAGAATAAGACAATAAGACACCAGTAAGAGTGATTGGAGGAGGGGAGTGGGTGGCTGGAGTTTGACAGGGAAGGAAACACACTTGTATCTTTTGAATTCTGTACTGCATGCAGGTATTGCCTATTCAAGAACCAAATGATTTTTTTTTTAAAGGACTTAGATGAAAAGGTGGACAAAATAGAGCCTCTTCAGAGGAGAAAGCCTGGAAGGGCACAGGGTCTATTCCTCATGTTAAGAAGGAGTGGTTGATAGATTGGAAAATGTTTGCCTAGACTTGGGGGTGTGGGGATGGGAAAAATGGGTGGTAGATGGAAGGTATTTGAAGATCCACCTTAGTCTATGTTTATTTAGAAGACAGGACTGTCACAGTAGGTAGTTAGGCAGACTTGAGCAGGGCAGGAGAGGGTCCCCTGAACCAGGATTATCAGGCGACCATCAGGTGATGGTCAGGCGGTTGTTTGTTAAACTGCCTCTCTAAAATAATAATGGGTTGCAGCCAGCGTCAGGGAAAGGCAGTCTCCCAATACACAGAAAACACCTGAAACTGGTGATCAGCAGCTTCCCAATAAGATCTCAGGAGTTGAGCAAGTGGGCTTAAGCATGCACACTAAGAGGCAAAATGGAGGCGTTTACCCGGTGTATGACCTCTAGTGTTCCTCTAGGAACACTCTGCTGGTAACGGAAGAACCTCAAGTGATCATGAGCACAGCTTCAATAAACACACTGCACGTGCAGCCCCTCCCAGGTGCTGGCAGGCCACCGGGCACACGGACAGCCCACCCCAAGGGAAGAATCAGGAGAGAAGTAATGCAACCCCCTGGAAGCATGCCAATGTATACAACCCCAAGTCAAAGGTCAAATCGTCATGCACTTGAATCTCTCAAGTCGCCCACTTGGCTCTCTTCCAAGTGTACTTTACTTCGTTTTGTTCCTGCTGTAAACTTTTTAGTAAACTTCCACTCCTGCTCTCAAACTTGCCTCCGTCTCTCCCTCTGCCTTATGCCCCTTGTTGAATTATTTCTTCTGAAGAGGCAAGAATTGAGGTTGCTGCATACTCGTATGATTTGCTGCTGCTAACAGGACTAAGATCAAAGAGAAGACACCATAGAGTTGTAAATATTGAGTCAATTTCACTTTCCTTTTTAGGTATGAGCTTCCATCATGGAGGGATTAATGACAAGAGGTTCTATTAAGTTTGCCCCTTTGAGTGGAAAGTAGCCTAAACTACTAAAGTCACTTTCAACCTCATTCAATGACAGTGGGGTTTCAACTCGGTATACACATGAGCCTCAGGTCTTTTTGATGTTAACATCTGCTTAACACTGTCTTCCTAAATCCCCACTGTCCATTCTAGTGACTGCTCAGGTTCAGTAATCGCGGCAAAAGGGACAGAGGAAGAAAGGGAATAGTGGGACGATTCTAACACACCAACTCCAGTCAGCTAGTTGCGCTCACTCAGAACCAAGGAAGTCTGAAGGAATTCCATGTGCTGCTACATACACTAAGGAGGAGGAATCCATGTCTATCAAGGACTGTGAAGGGTCTGAGATTTTACCCTGTTTGCAAGCTAACAAGTGAGCCTGCCACAGTTTCATTGATGCTGGCAGAAGACATGAGACTCCTAGGTTAGAGATAAAGGACTTTATCACTCATGGCCACAGTGGTTTCCCTTGCCTCTTAAGTCCCGTGAGGGCAATGCGGAGGCAGGCCCAGGTGGATGGGTGTTGTACACATAGTGGGTCTGAGAAAACTCAAGCAGAAGTCCTCAAACTTATAAGGGGGAGGCCGTAGTAAACTTACCCAACCTTTGTCCCAGAGAGATATGTTATCCATTTTATCATAGTCAGAAAACCAATCTGTCCTCTTCCCTGGAGAGACGTATATCTTCTGTGGCTCTTTGCTCTATAAACATCCTTGGAAAGATAGTCTGGGATAGAATCTATCACAAGATACGTAGAAGCACCATAGAGAATTGCCCCAACAGTGTCTCCTTGTATGGGTGAAGTTCTGGACTAATCTATTTGTGTCGTGGTTGGATGTAGAACTGCCAGCTGGCTACACAAGTCTAAGCTCCAGTTAATATTTTTTGGACCAAGGAAGCAAAGAAAGGCCTCAGGTTTGGACGAACCTGGATTAGAATCTTAGCTCTGTCATTTAACAGATAAGTTATTTGCTTAGTGTCTCTGATCCTCGGTGTTCTAATTTGTAAAATCAAGCCAATGATACTTACCTCATAGTGCTGCCATAAGGATTAAAATATATTATATGCGCAACTGAATACAGGTTAGTTCACCACCTAATATTCTTTGATTTTTACTTTGAAAAAATAACATTTTGGGGCCTGGGCATGGTGGCTCATGCCTGTAATCCCAGCACTTTGGGAGGCTGAGGCAGGCAGAGCACTTGAGGCGAGTAGTTCAAGACTGGTCTGGGCAACATGGTGAAAATCTGTCTCTACAAAAAAAACACAAAAATTAGCTGGGTGTGGTGGTGTGCACCTGTAGTCCCAGCTACTCAGGAGGCTGAAGCACTCCAGCCTGAGTAACAGAGCAAGACTCTGCTTCAAAAAAAAATTAAAAAATAACATTTTGGATCCCCAAATTGTAAGAGACTTATAAAGACATGTACAAAGTCAGCTGTCTTTTCCTGTGATTTGGTCCTGTATATTGAAGGAAAGGACAGGAGATGACAATCTTTGAGCTTCCCTAATACAAAAATACTCATTTGTGTCTCTCAGTAACTCTTGGGTCAAAAGATTTTAGATGCTCAAATTTAAGTAACTCTCCAGATGGGAGAACATGTCATCTTTGCTTTCACTTCTCTTGGCTCAGATTGCTGCTGATCACCCTCTTCTCTCTGCCTGGCTTCCCATCCTCCAGTGTTGACACAAACCCTGCTTAATTAGAGTAAATTTAGGTTCTCTACCCCCAATTCTACACAATAAACACCCCAACCTATGGTATCATAGATTTTCCTCAGGAACTTTAACTCAGTATCTCTCTAATTAAACCTGTTTGGGCCACATTTTTTTTTTTTCTGGCAGCTCTAAGCTTGATAGATGAAGAGACAGCAGAAGACTAGAAAGTTGTACCCTGTAAGACAATGCTAAAGCAGATGACTTAATTAGAGGAAACCAAATAATTTGCCTCCACTGCTTCATATGGCTATTCATAAGATTGCTTTGTTGGTTCCCAGACCAGAAATAAGCATAGAGACCCAGGTGTGTCATCTGTGTTTTTTCATCCCAGGTGAGCCAGGAATAACCATGTTATTTCTGACAGTCATCAAAAGAGAAATTTGGGTTTTGCTGCAGATAAGAAAATAAGAGGCAACAGCTCACAGTGGAAGTATCCCAGCAGATTAAAAAAAATAATATTACAGCCTTGTCATCCAGACTGGTTCTCAATTTTATCATGCCTGAGAATTACCTAAGACTTGTTAAAATCAATTGCCGGGGACTATCCTCACAGTCTCTGATTCAGTAGGTCCAGGATGGGCCCTGAGAATGTGCATTTCTAACAAGTTGCCAGGTGATGCTGATGCAGCTAGTTCCGAGTCCACACCTTGAGAATCAGTACTCTAAAGCAGTGATTCTCAGCCCTGGCTATATGTTATAATGCCCCGGGGGAGATTTCAGAAAGCATTTCCTGGTTCCCACCCCCAGAGATCCTGACCTAATTGAATGGGGGTTGGGCCTGAGCATCTGGATTCTTAAAAGCTTCCCAGCTGATTTAATATGATACCAGGGTTGAGAGCCACAGTATGTCTAGAAGTTTCCCAGGTATACATGCTCTTCTTCCATTCCCAGCTTGGCAACTCAGGAGGAAGATGATGGATATAAACAAGGCATTATTACAAGCCTTGCTGGATGTAAACAAGTCACGTGAAAGTCAACTGAAAAGTAAAGAAAGAATATCTGCTCTGCTTGGTATTTCCTGCTGGTTAGGGCTGATGACAGCTCCAGCTCACAGTGACCCAGTTTGGAATGCTGGGCTCCTGAGCAAAACATCTCCCCCAGAGTCTTCTTTAATTATAAAATAATCAACTCCATATTCCCTCCTTACTTTAACAGAGGGGCTCATTGTGTGGATTTCTGCCCAGTGAGGGGAGGAAATAGCAAGCTGCTCCCAGGAACAGTGACTCTTTTGGGGCCCTTGAAGGGAAGGCAAGGCACCAGTTGGCCAGGACTCATTTACAGAGGGTCTCTTTATTAGTAGTAGTATGAAAAAAGAAATCCTCTACAAAAGAACAATATTTTCTCAAGTTTTAAGTTACTTGTCCTCAGCATGTGGGTTAAAGTTGAGAAAGTTTAGCCCAATGGTTCTCAACCCTCACTGCAGAATAGAATCGCCAGGGACATTTACAAAAACAGCCTGTCTCCACCAGGGTGACTAGCTAGTCCCAGATTCCTGGAATCTTCTGTGTTTTAGCACCGAAAGTCCTACATCCTGGAAACTTCTCAGTCCTGGGCATATAGGGACAGTTGGTCACCATGCCCTATCCAAAACAATTAAATCACAACCTCTGGGTTGTCAGTCCTGGACATCAGAATGTTCAAAAGGTAGCCATGCTCCCCAGGGGATTGTAATGTGCAGCCGAGGTTGAGAACTAGTGGTTTTTTAATTAAATGAAGTGGTGTGCAGTGCAGTGTTTTGGTGCTTTCTGGAGTTCTGATAACATCTGTATATGTTGGAGGTGTGTGTGTGTGTGTACCGTGGTGCTTTCAAGTGGAGGGGAAATGGGCTTCGCCCAGGTGGATGTGATTTCAGGGTCATTTTCTCAGGACTGTTTAAACAATTGTGACATTTCAAGTCTCACAGAGGCTGTGTCTTTAGCAACCACATTATGATCATTTGAAAATGTTTGACCCTCGTGGAGCGTGGTGCTAACAGGTTCACAGGCGTAACTCACTAAGCACTTCAAAAGTGGTCAGCAGTGGGAGTGGCCAGTAATCTCAGTCCTGTTTGAAGGCAGAGTAGAGGTTACCCTGATACTCACAGTCTTTTATAAGGAAAAACCATTTTCCACTTTCATGCAGATTTAAAAAGTGGTAATAAGCTGTGTTTAAAAAAAAATCTAAACTAAAAACAAATAAAACTACAGAGACAGTCAAGTGGGAAAAAAAAATGTAGCCCACAAGATGGTAGATGGTGCTCTTTCAGGGATAATTGCAGAAATGTTCTCTTACAAACCAATAATTTGATTCCCACTGGAGCAAACCAGGAGGCCTCAGCCAGGACAACTTTTCCTCAATGTAAGAAATGTCTAATTCCTGCAAAAGTAGACTATTTGCCTAATTGGTGTGTGGGCAACTTGTGTAATAGTGTGTTGCATCCTCTTGTCCAGAATAGGCTGGACATACCCCACATCAGCTCCCCTCTGGAAACTCAAGTCAACACGACCATGGGGCAGCAAAAGTGCAGGCAGTCAGCACCTAGACAGGAGAGCTTGGAAAAGAAGACTCTGCCTCCAGGAGTTTAACACACAAATGTCCAAAGAACAGCTGGCCAACCAGAAAGGCCAAGCAAATGAAGGCTTCTGGTGGTTTCTTCCTCTCTGATTAATTACAAAAGTAAGCATTTTTATGGAGGAAAGTGAAAAATGAATTTTAATTGGCGGGGGTGGGGGGCGCTATGCAACTCCCAAGAGCTTAATTTAAAAAAATAGTTGACACCTGCCTCTTATGCTTTGGTATCTCAGTTTGAGATGCTAAAACTTGGCAGGTGTATTAGCCTGTTCTCACACTGCTATCAGGAACTACCTGAGACTTGGTAATTTATGAAGAAAAAATATTTAATTGACTCACAGTTCCACAGGCTTAACAGGAAGCATGACAGGAAGGCCTCAGGTAACTTGCAATCATGGCAGAAGGTGAAAAGGAAGCAAGCACCTTTTTCACGTGGTGGCAGGAGACAGAGCAAAGGGGGAAGTGCCACACACTTTTAAACCATCATATCTCATGAGAATTCACTCACTGTCAGGAGAACAGAAAGGGGGAAATCCATCCTCATGATCCAATCACCTCCTAGTAGGCCCTTCCTCTAATTCAACATGAGATTTGGGCAGTGACACAAATCCAAACCATATCAGGAGGACAGCATGGCATAGTAAAATTAGCAATGAACTTGGACATTGAAGATTGAGAAGGGACTTCCTCAGAAGGTCACGTGACCTCTTTGAGCCTTCATTGTTTCATCTAGAGCAAAGAGGTGTCAACGGGGCTCACTGACCCCATGTTTGTCAAGTTAGGTCCAATCTTGGCAGAAAGGGATGCCACAATCTACCAGCCATGAAACACAGTGTGGTGATTAAGAACACAGACACTAGAGCCAGACCATGTGAGCTAGAGTCCCAGCACACCACTTAATAGCTGTGTGACCGCAGGCACATTGCTTAACCTCTTTATGCCTCAGTTTCCTGATCTGAAAATAGAGACAATAACTCTACCCACCTCATGGTGCTGTTGTGAGGATTAAATGAGAGAATGCCTTGAAACTGCTTACAACAAAGCCTAACATATAGGCATGCCCCATTAGTGTTGTGTTATTATCAATTATAGTTATTTGGCTTATTCAGAATACTACAGAAAAGGAGCTAGATCCTGGAACGTCTTGGAAGCCATGGAAAGGATGATGGAGAGAATCGAAGTTAGTTGTAGGGAGCAAGGTTTTTCCTAGGAGAAACTGTCCAAAAATGTGCCACCCTGAGTACCTCTGTCTTAATCAGTTTTATATTGCTGTGAAGGAATACCTGAGACTGGGGAATTTGTGAAAAAGAGATTGACTTGGTTTACAGTTCTGCGGGCTGTACAAGAAACAGGTGCCAGCATCTGCTCCTGGTGAAGGCCCCAGGCTGCTTTCACTCATCGTGGAAGGTGAACAGGAGCCAGAGCTGGCTTGTGCAGAGATCATATGGTGAGAGAGGAAGCAAGGGAGAGCCAGGGGCTGGGGTAGGCTTTTTTTTTTTTTTTTTTTTTTAATAACCAGCTGCCGAGGGAACTAACAGAGCAAGAACTCACTACCTTGAGAACAGCACCAAGTCATTCATAAGGGATCCACACCTTGACCCAAACACCTCCTGTTAGGCCCCACCTCCAACAATGGGGATCAAATTTCAACATGAGGTTTGGAGGGGAAAAATATTCCAAGTATAGCATCCTCCCAGCAAGTGCATAAAATTCAATATGTGCAAAGCAAATGCATGATCTTTTTTATTCTTTTGGTGTCTGTTCCCACTGATCATCCTACTTGTAATGTACTTAAAACAGTGCATGGAACATAGAAAGCTGTCAGTAAATCAGCTGCTATGGTTGGGGTGGTGGTTGCTTTTAATATTAATATTAATAACTAGGATCATCCCTAGTCTGGCTAAGAAATAACACCCAACAATAAAGAGCAAATTAGATGATATGGGTGAAAGTGCTTTGCAAATAGGAAGCATTTTACAAAGATAAGGTATTATTATCTCCCTGCCTCAGTGAAAGTGATTAATTAGACAAATATTTGTAAAGTACAAACCACATGCTCTATTTTGTGCAGAAGAAATTGACGTGATCAGTGTTACCTTATCTGAACTTGATTCTAACAGACTCTTTCAGTCTAGAGAAGAATGACTGGCAGCAGCTTTCCTCAAGGCTGAGAGATTTTAACCTGCCTGGAGTTTGTGACGTCTGTTGTGATCCCGACAATTAACCATTGTAATGTTCACTGAATCAGGCAGTTGACACGGCCCTCTTCTTAACAGCCTGTTTAAATATTTAGAAAGGAGAACAATGAAACCTGAGAAGTGTGAGGACCTGCTTGGTTTATGATCAGCCCAATGTAAACATGAGTCTGGTGCAGGAGAGCCCCAGGAGGCAGGTCTCCAAGGTCCCCCAGCCTATGGGACGACTCCAGGCTCAGCTTTGCACCAAGCAGACACTTGACACTATGCCAGACGCTATCTAGGCAGCTCCTTAAGCTGAGTAATGAGACTTGGTTTTTTGGGGACCTTTAATTACCAGTTTAATGTACAAACACATTTCTCTCCAGAGATGTTCATTCAGGCACAGGCTTTGTTCAAAAGGAAAAGCAAGTTGCTTCCTTTCCCTGGCTGAGAAGACACGGATCCAGGGTGATATTTATCTAGGATTGGTGAAACCCACCCTCCTCCAGCTCTGACACACTCACAGAGTACTCACATTCTTACTCTCTCACCCAAGAACTCATTAAGTCTCTGATAATGTCTGCGGGGTGACTCTCCCCTTGTTTCATCTTTATTCTACCTATATGATGTAAATAATAACTGTGTTTAGAACATTGTTCGGGGCACTATGATGATTTACAAAGCAAGAAAACATGGATTCATCACTTTCCAGGAGCACGGGGTCTAATATAGAAAGTGAAAAAAAGTCTAATATAGGAAGAAGTAACGTAGTCCAACTGCCTGAACATGTTTCTATTTGTTCTTAAAAGGTTTTCTTGCAAAAGATAATGGAAAGGGGCAGAAATAATCATACTACTAGTAGTTATCATTGATTGCATACCATTTTCCAGATACTGTGCTGGGTCTTCTTCCTAAAGTCTCTTTAAATCCTCACAAAGACCCACAGAGTAGGAGCTATTTATCACCATTCCCATTCAGTGATAGTTTTCCTAAGATGAGTTAGTAAGTGGTGGAGCTGGACTGTAACCCTAATGGGAAGACTTTATCTCTATGCTCTACTCTCTCAGTTTCTTGACATATATTCATTAGTTCATTTGACAAACTTTTGAATGAAATTTGAATGTGTCAAAGCATTAGGGCTAAAATATGAGAAAAGGCAAAATTTTAAAAATACACGGGCCGTGGTGGCACACACCTGTAATCCCAGTACTTTGGGAGGCCAACGTGGGTGGATCATCTGAAGTCAAGAGTTCAACACCAGCCTGGCCAACATGGTGAAACCCTGTTTCTACCAAAAATATAAAAATTAGCCGAGTGGTAGTAGTGCCTACCTGTAATCCTAGCTACTCGGGAGGCTGAGGCAGGAGAATCGCTTGAGCCTGGGAGGTGGAGGTTTCAGTGAGCCGAGATCATGCTGCTGCACTTCAGTCTGGGTGACAGATTGAGACTCTGTCTCAAAAAAAAAAAAAAAAAGAAAAGAAAAGAAAAGAAAAAAAAGCTAGTCCTGCTCTTTTGGAGCTTCCGTTACCCACACACTACATCTGCTACCCCCATGTGGTGGCCCTGGTGGTGCATTGCTCAGTCTCACTTCAGAACAATCTGCTTGGTGGAGGGGGCTGGTGGACAGCCTCCATCAGCTGCATCTTCAGATTGGCTGCAGTTTTGTGCAAGGCCATGATGAACACTACAGGGTACCAGAGGCCAACCATTCCTGCCCTCCTTGGGACCCCCAGTGGGCCGTCTTTCCTCTGGAGCTCCCCCATCAGTCTGGGGCTGCTCTCTGAAGCTTCTCCCACCCAACCCTCCTTCCTGTGCCTCTCCTGTCACAGGTGTCAGCCCTGCATCCTGGTCTGAAGACTTTCCCCACCCACTCCTGCTACTCTCCCCTTTACCCTCTACAATGTTACCCCAATAAATCTCTTGCACATCAAACTCTATCTTGACATTTGCTTTTCAAAAGACTCAAACTGGAGTCCTCTTTCATGCTGCATCACTGGAAACTGCCTGCTTCTGAAATCAGGGATTCAGACACCCACCGTCTGACCACAGACACTAATCCTGCCAGCTTGCATGCTCAGCCTTTCCTGATTTGGTCTGATCTTCACCTGCTCAGGTCTTCCTACTCTTAACCTACCTCCACCTTTCTTTACCTCCCTATTTGTCTGGCTTAGTTAGCTAAGCCCACAGTCCCTTAGTTTCATCATTTATCATTGGGTATGATTGGCAATTTGCAGGGGATGATTATTTGTTGTTAGGTACCCTCTTCCACATTGAGGGCATTTAGCATCCCTGGGTCCTGCCCACTAAATTCCAATATGCTCCCCTTCATTGTGAGAACCCAAAACAGCCTTGCCTACTTCCAGACACCACAGCAGGGTGCTACCATCCCTTCTGTCACTGAGAACCTCTGATTTATTCTCTTGTCCGTTTCCATTGCCTATTGTCCTTCCATCATAGCGACCTGAAAACACCCCAAGCCTGCATGACTAGAGCTGACCACCTGTTCCCTGGCTGTGAGCAAGTGCCCAAGTACTGCCAAGCACAATCTTGCAGTTGTACAGATTGATCCCACTGTCAGTTCCTGGTCACTAAGCCCAAGCAGGGCCCCAGTGCTGATGGCAATCTAGTGAGCTTGCCCTTTCATTCTCCAGGATGACCATTAAGACCTTCTCCACTCTCCCAAAATCTCCAACTCTCACCCCCTACAAACCTAGAAAGAGAATTGTGTCTGTTACTGCACAGACTAAATACCACAGTCCATCTGTCCTCCCATTCCTGCCCACAACAGCTAATCCCTAATGCATCTGCTCTCTCTGCCTCATCCTTCCCTCCCGGCGCAGTGGAAGAGTTGTTCTCTCTTCTCTCTAGAACCATCTCCCCCATCTGGAGCCCACTACCTCCTACATTTGCACAACCATTGAGGTGTGTAAGCATTCCCTCTTCCCTAAGTCTTCCAATTTCACCTCCTAACCATTCAAACATGTGCTTCTTTCTCCCATATAAAAAAAAAAATTAACCAAGCGTGGTGCCTCACCCCTATCATCCCAGCACTTTGGGAGGCTGAGGCAGGTGAACCACTTGAGTCCAAGAGTTTGAAACAAGGCTGGGCAACATAGTGAAACCCCATCTCTACAAAAAACACAAAAGTTAGCTGGGTACGGTGGCACGCACCTGTGGTCCCAACTACTTGGGGGGCTGAGGTGCTAGGATCACTTGAGCCCAGAGGCAGAGGTGCCAGTGAATCATGATAGCACCACTGCACTCCAGCCTGGATGTCCTGGATGACAGAGCGAGAATCTGTCTAAAAAAAAAAAAAAATGCAAAAATTCATCATTTAGGTAAAATATGCAATACTACCTCACATAACACCTCACTAACGTTTCATGATGAGGAGTGGCTTAGCTTGACTAAAGATTCTTTATAAACTCTCCTCCTTAATCCTTCGTCACTTCCAGAGATGGTTAAGCCTCTTTTAAGACTGCCTCCTCTCATGGTATCTATTTTCTTATCTCTCCCTCACCCCTGGATCTCCATAATCTGACCCTGTTGTCATCACTGCAACCAAACCTGCTCTTTCCAAGGTTACCAAAGACCAGACTCCACAGGCACATTCAGTCCTCAGTTTGCCTGACCTCCTAGCAGCACTTGCCAGGTTAATCCATTCTTAAAGGACCACTTTCTACCTCTGGTTTCTATAACACCAGCACCTCCTGGTTTCTTCCTACCTTCTGTCCCTCTTCCTATGGTGGCCAGCTTGCATTTCTAGCCAGCTCTCAAAAACTGGTGTTTCCAAAGCTTTTGTCCCAGGGCCTCCTTTCCTCTCAACCTTCAAATTCTTTCTTGGCAATATCTCCCAGGATGATCTCATCCTATATCCGCATGCTAACATTACTCATAAATTGCCAGCCCAGTCCTCTCTCCTTAACCCCAGACCTATATCATCTGAGTGCCATGCGTGTATTTGCACCTGCATTTCTTGCAGGCTCTACAAACTCACTACTTTCATATTGGTTAATTTTCTGTTGCTGAGAGCATAATGCATTCTAGACATTGTAAGCAGAAAGGGGCTTCTACAGGAAATTGTGTGCTTAGAAGTTGTAGGAAGGACTAAAGAAGGCCCTAGGCTTCCAGGAATGGCACCCAGGATACCACTGCAGAATTAACCCTCTAGGGGAAGTTCTAGCTTTGCCACAGGCAGGAAGCTAAGGAATTAGAAACCTGCTGTTCCAAATGTGGGCCTAGCTCTGATGCAGATGTCAGGCGGCTATAGCCTGAAGTGTTGGACCCAGAGTCATTTAACTCACTAGATTTGCATCAGCAGAATGGATGCTCCAGGCTCTGCTGCCTCTTTCTCCACCTGACTCACTTCTGGATTCAAGACTCATGCAAGTGTAGCTGATTGATGACCTGAACCACATTTGAATCCTGAATTATAAGAGAGTGTGGGGAATGTTGTTTTGGCTTTCTAGACTCTATAATATGAGATGGACCATGAGAAGGAGCATAGAATAGAGGTCAAGTGAGCCAATCTGCAGTGTCCCTCACAACATCTAAGAACTCTTGGTTTCCCCAACAGATACCTTCTCTCCTAACATCCTCTATTTCTGTAGAGTGCACCCCTCCACCAGTTGGTCAAGTCTGAAACTGGAAGTGATGCCCCTGCTCTATTCTCAGATGCATACCCAGGTCACGCCAGTTCCATACCTAAATATCTTTTGATTCTTTATCATTTATCTCTTCCACACCTCCATCATCTCTCACCTGAATGACAATAACAGCCTCTTAAGCAGTCTTTCTGTATCCATCTTTGTCCTTTTCTAATGCATTCTCCACAACATAGCCAGAGAAATCTTCGGAAAAATAAATATGAGTATAACACTTCTCTGAGGTTTTGAACCTCAAGGACTCGTTTAACATGTGCCCTCCGTGCAGACAGAGACTAAGTCTCACTGATAGCCACGTGCAACCCCAGAGCCTAACGGGGTACCTGGCACAGAGTAAATATTATGGTTATTGTGGCAAAAGATTTCGCCCTTTTCTAGCCAAACAACTCCATCTACATCTGCTAATCTGCAAGGTTTCTTTCCGTGTGGTTGTAAGCAGTAGCTTAGCAAGAGAAGTGCAGCATTTCACACTGTGAGTCAGACTGCATCCTTGCTATGTGAAGTTAATTTCCCAAGATAAAGTTGCCTCTTAGAAATGCACATATTTTCTTTCTTTCTTCCTTCCTTCCTTCCTTTCCTTCCTTTCTTTGGTCTCACTCCGTCACCCAGGCTGCAGTACGGTGGCATGATCACAGCTCATTGCAGCCTCAACCTCCTGGGCTCAAGCAATCCTCCCATCTCAGCCTCCCGAGTAGCTGGGACCACAGGCATATGCCACTATGCTTGGATAAATTTTGTAGAGAACGGGTTTCGGCGTGTTGCCCAGGCTGTTCTCAAACTCCTGAGCTCAAGTGATCCGCCCAACTTGGCCTCCCAAAGTGCTGGGATTATAAGCGGGAGCCACCAAACCCGGCCCTTATGCTCTTTCCTTTTCCACTCTACTTGGCCTCTTTTCTCTCCCCAACTCCCACTCCTTCTTATTTAATATCCATTTCCTTGCAGCCTAGTGGAAACCTACAGCGCCCTCCTGTTGGCCCTGCTCCCCTGGAAACCAGGGATTTTTGTGTCAAAATTTGCACTGTATGAGTGAGGATTAATTTAATGCTTCTGCTATAAAATGCTCTCCTTCCTCCCAGAAGCTGTTTTCATCTGAAACTTGTGCTCCATATCCCAAGATTTTGCTTAGAGCCAGGATTCCTCCAGCCCCAGACAGCTATGTACTATGGTGGCAGTTTCTCTCTGACAGTGTTTTTTGGGAAGTCTTTTAATAATCTCAAAGCATATTGTTGGAATCAGACTCAGAATGTCCCTGGAGGAATAAACAGGCTGTGAACAGGCTTCAGAAGAAAATGACAACTTTATTCCAAACATTCTTACTTTTACGTCATGATCAAAACAGTACCTCATCAGCACCAGACACACACAGACAGACGTGTGGGCCACGGGATGCCTGGAGGGAGGGATCCTGAGATGTCCTCATGGTGTTCATCAGCCTCCTGCGTGGAATCACTGCCTATTGCTTGTTAATCTCTTCTTAATCCAATCTTTTGGGCTGGATGTTGCTCCAGGAGGTGAAAGCAAGCACAGGAGCTAAAGGATTCCAAAGGAGCAATTCTCCTCTCCTGCTTTTATGCTTATTAATATGATCTATGATGGATGCTCCTCATGGCTAAGAGGGCTGCTTCCTGCAGCTAGGAAGGGACTTCTTGATCCTTAATGACTTCCCTGCTCCACTTCTTATAGCAGGGAACTTTGTGCCATAAGCAGAACTGTCATGCATTTCTTCTAAACACCTTGAGTTAAAAGGTGTGTCCTTTTAAGGTTAGGTGCTATTTTATGAGCCTTTAGTTTTCTGGGACTCACCTATTAATTTGCTAAGGTAAGGTCATTTACTCATGCATTTACTCTTAATTTCATCAATTCATTTACAAACAGTTACTGATTATTTACTCTAAACTCTACTGTAAGTATCCATTGATAAATAGAACATGATCTAGGCTTAAAGGTGAGACACAGACCCTAAATCCAGGAATTATAATACAGTATGAAAAGGGGTCTCCTTGGAATGAGTATGGAAGGTGATCAGTGTAAGTGCACATGGGCAGGACACCTAACCTAGTGTTGGGAAGGGAAGGGAAGCCTTCAGAGAGGATGTATCCTTGAAACCAGGAGCTAAAGCACTTGATCAGAGAGACCCTACTCAGAAGTCCAGGGCAGGTTTGGAGTCAGATGGGCTGTGGGTTTGAAATGCAATTATATGGTTTGGATGCTTGTCCCCTCCAAATCTCGGGTTGAAATGTGATTTCCAGTGTTGCAAGAGGGCCCTGGTGGGAAGTGATTGGATCATGGGGGCGGATTTGTCCCTCGCTGTTCTCATGATATTGAGAAAGTTCTCACAAGACCAGGTTGTTTAAAAGTGTGTGGCAGCTCCTCCCTCATGCTCTTGCGCCTGCTCCTGCTTCACCTTCTGCCATGATTGTGAGCCCCCCGAGGCTCTCACCAGAAGCAGATGCTGGAGCCATGTTGGTACAGCCTGCAGAACTGTAAGCCCGTTAAACCTCTTTTCTTTCTTTTTCTTTTTAAACTTTATCCTTTCTTTTAAAATTTTACAATAAGTTCTGGGATACATGTGCTGAATGTGCATGTTTGTTACATAGGTATACATGTGCCATGGTGGTTTACTGCACCTATCAACCCGTCATAGGTTTTAAGCCTCACATCCGTTAGGTATTTGCCCTAATGCTCTCCCTTCCCTTGCCCCCAACCCCACGACAGGCCCTGGTATGTGATGTTCCCCTCCCTGTGTCCATGTGTTCTCATTGTTCAACTCCCACTTATGAGTGAGAACATGCGGTGTTTGGTTTCTGTTCCTGTGTTAGTTTGCTGAGGATGATGGCTTCCAGCTTCATCCATGTCCCTGCAAAGAACATGAACTCATCTTTTTTTATGGCTGCATAGTATTCCATGGTGTATATGTGCCACATTTTCTTTATCCAGTCTATCATTGATGGGCATTTGGGTTGGTTCCAAGTCTTTGCTATTGTAAATAGTGCTGCAATAAACATATGTGTGCACGTGTCTTTATAGTAGACTGATTTATAATCCTTTGGGTATACACCAAATAATAGGGTTGCTGGGTCAAATGGTATTTCTGGATCTAGATCCTTAAGGAATCACTACATTGTCTTCCCAGTGTAAACCTCTTTTCTTTACAAATTACCCAGTCTCAGGTATTTCTTTCTTTTTTTGGAGACAAAGTCTCGCTCTGTCGCCCAGGCTGGAGTGCAGTGGCTTGATCTTGGCTCACTGCAACCTCCGCTTCCCGGGTTCAAGCAATTCTCCTGCTTTGACCTCCTGAGTAGCTGGGATTACAGGTTCATGCCGCCACACCCAGCTAACTTTTTGTATTTTAGTAGAGACGAGGTTTCACCGTGTTGTCCGGCTGGTCTTGAACTCCTGAGCTCAGGCAATCTGCCCGCCTCGGCCTTGCAAAGTGCTGGGATTATAGGCATAAACCACCGTGCCTGGCCTCAGGTGTTTCTTTATAGTGACACAAGAACGGCCAAAAACACCCAGCTCTATCCCTTAATGCCTGGGTAGGTGAGGCAAGGCCTCAGGCCTTACTCAGCAAGCATAAACTGAGGATGTCACACCACTGTGAAAACCAAATGAGACCATAGTCTGTTTCAGTCTTTCACAAACAGGGTGGGGTTGGCAGAGAAGATCTCAAAGTGACCTATAAGGGCCTGTGGAATTTGGTCCCCCTTTACCTCTGACCTCAGCACCTGCTACTCTCCCCTCCTCCCTCCTCTGCAGCTCATCAGGCCCTTTCTGTTCCTCAAACACTCCAGACCTGCCTCTCATTTGTGGCCTGGTGTGCTCTTCCCTAGCTAACTGCATGGCATACATCCTTGCTTCTCTCAATGTCACCTTCTCACTGGGGTCTTTTCTGACTATCATGGTAGGTAGAATAATGGCCTTCCAATGATATCCATGTCCTAATTCCCAGAACCTGCTACCTTACATGGCAGAGACACTTTACAGTCATAATTAAGCTGAGGATCTTGAGATGAGAGATGATCCTGGATAATCCAGGTGTGCCCATTGTACTCATGAGTCTTTATAGGAGGGAGGCAGGAGACAGAGTCAGAGAAGGAGATATGATGGTGGAAAGAGCATCAGAGAGAAATATGAATCTGCCACACTGCTGGCTTGGAAGATACAGGAAGGGGCTATGAGCCAAGGGATGGGGGCGGCCTCACGAGCTGAAAAAGTCAAGGAAGTGGATTCTCCCCTAAACCTTCCAAAAGGAACACAGTCCTGCCGATACCTTTATTTTAGGACTTCTGACCTCTAGAACAGAAAGATAAAAATAAATTTTTGTTGTTTAAGGACTATGTTTATGGTCATTTGTTTTAGCAGCACTGGGGAACTTACCACTCTATTTAAAACCATCTCATTCTTACCCTCTCCTCATTCCTCATTTATCTATTTCATTTTTCTCCATAGCCCATGTCATTATCTGACTGTAATTTTTTTTTTTTTTTTTTTTGAGATGGAATCTTGCTCTGTCACCAGGCTGGAGTGCAGTGGCGTGATCTTGGCTCACTACAACCTCTGCCTCCTGGGTTTAAGTGATTCTCCTGGCTCAGCCTCCCGAGTAGCTGGGATTACAGGTGTGCACCACCACACCTGGCTAATTTTTGTATTTTTAGTAGAGACGGGATTTCACCATGTTGGCCAGGATGGTCTTGCTCTCCTGACCTTGTGATTCGCCTGCCTCAGCCTCCCAAAGTGCTGGGATTACAGGCGTGAGCCACTGCGCCCAGCCCTGACTGTTATATTTATGTTTCACATGTTTATTTGTTTATTGTCTCTCTCCTATCACTATAATAGAAGCCATGAATCCAGGACTTTTCTTCATTTACTCTCATGTCTCCAGGGGCTGGAATAGTGCCTGGCACACAGCAGGAACTCAATGAACATGTGTTGAATTAATGAATCAATGACCCTCTCCTCCTTCCCTGCATTTCCAAGATATTAGAAATGAAGGGATCAGACTCTTTCCTGATGCTGTATTAAAAAGTTTAATTAGCATAACAGTAATTCACTCACTTGTACCGTACATGAAGCTGCCAAAGCGCCTTTGCTGTGCTGCCAGATGCCCATGATGCACCAAGTCCGTTATTGGCTGAAATGATGGCTTCCTCCTGCAAACACCTGCAACTCCCTTTTCCCCCACCCTCCTGAGGCCTTGAGTTTTTACTGGTTATCTCAACAGTGGGTCAGACCAGACATTTAAATGCTGCTGAATTTTACCCACAGTCATCTAGAGAAAGAGAGTTTATGTCTGCATCTATAGGCAACTTCTTTTTCTCCCTTTCTCTCAACTATTTTTCTAGAGAATAATAGCTCACATCTATTGGGGGCTTATTATGTGCCTCTGTGTAAGCTGTCCTAAGTGCTTTATATGCATATATTTATTTAATCCATACATTTATTTAATCTAGGAGAGAGGGGCTCCTATTTGGCCCTATTTTACAGATGGGAAAACTGAGTAGGGGAGAAAAAACTGATTTGCTCACAGTCATGCAGCTGGGAAGGTCTGAGCTCAGATCTGAATCCAGGCAGTCTTGTGTCAGAACTTGCCTTACTAATTTCTTTTCTTTTCTTTTTTCTTTTTAAACAAAAGAAGGAGGTTTATTGGACTTATACTTCCATGTGGCTGGGGAGGCCTCACAGTCATGGTGGAAGGGGAAAGGCACATCTCACATGGCAGCAGACAATAGAAGAAAGCTTGTGCAGGAAAACTCACCCTTATAATCACCACTGGATCTCGTGATACTTACTATCACGAGAACAGCACGGGAAAGACCTGCCCCCATCATTCAATTACCTCCCACCAGGTCCCTTCCACAACACGTGGGAATTCCAGGTGAGATCTGGGTGGGGACATAGCCAAACCATATCATTCCACCAACCTCATGTCCTCACATTTTAAAAACCAGTCCTGCCTTCCCAACAGTCCCCCAAAGTCTTAACTCATTTCAGCATTAACTCAAAAGCAAGTTAGTTACTTCCTAGACACAATGGGGGTAAAGGCATTGGGTAAATACAGCCATTCCATATGGGAGAAATTGGCCAAAACAAAGGGCCTATAGGCACCATGCAAGTCCGAATCCAGCAGGGTGGTCAAATCTTAAAGCTCCAAAATGATCTTCTTTGATTCCATGTTTCGCATCCAGGTCACGCTGATGCAAGAGGTAGGTTCCCATGGTCTTGGGAAGCTCTGACCCTGGTTTGCCTTACTAATTTCCACCCCTGACTTTTCTTTCAGGAGGATCCTGACAGATCACATCCTGTTTACAAATTTTTTTTTCTCTCCAACCAGTCCACAGATATATTTCCCATGCATTCTCTTGGGGTTTTAAGGGGATTAATAAATAACACCCCTCTCTTCAGAATCCCAATTCAGAACTGTCTTAGTCTGCTTGTGCTGCTCTAACAAAATACCATACACCAAGTAGCTTGCAAACAACAGAAATTGATTTCTTACAGTTTTGGAGGCTGGGAAGTCCAAGAGCAAGGCAGATGTGTTACATGGTAAGGGCCACTTCTCGGTTCATTGATGGCCATTTTCTCACTATGAACTAACATGGTAGAAAGGGCAAGGGATGTCTCTGGCACCTTTTTTATAAGGGCACAAGTCCCATTCATGAGTAATCTTCCTCCCTGACCTAATCACTTCCCAAGAGCCCCACCTCCTAAAGCATGACACTGGGGATTATGATTTGACCTATGAACTTGGAGGGGAGGGACACAAACATTCAGACCGTAGCAAGAACTGATAGAGAGATAGAGAGGATCCGATAGGTGGAGATCAAAATTTGAGCTTCATCCTAATGAATTCCAGGTTAGAGGATATGGCTGTGGTATAAGTGACCAAGCAGGCCTGTGAATACTTCAGCCATACTGCTTCCTGACTCTGCTCCCCAGTCTAGACTCTGGGACACTCCACATGAAAGAAAACTCTGGTCTGCAGAGCTGACACTTTTACCCAGCATTACTGCTTCATCCTGGACAGAGAGAGACAGGAAAAAGTCAACGCTCCAGGTGTTAGGTTTCAGTCTTTGAACAGCACCATTCAATTGTGTTCATTTTGGGGGGCTGCTGTAACAAAACTGGGTGCCTGATAGAAAGAGGAACTTATTCCCTCATAGCTCTGATAGCCAGAAGTCCAAAATCAAGATGTTAGCAGGACCACACTTCCTTGTTCAGCATCTAGTGGCTGCCAGCATTCTTTGGCTTACGGTTACATCACCCCAGTCCCTGCCTGTGTAGCCACACTGCCTTCTGTGTGTCTTCTCTCTGTGTGTGTCTCAAATCTCCCTCTGCCTCTCTTTTATAAGGGTGCTTGCAATGAGGTTTAGGGCCCACCTGGATGATCCAAAGTAACCTGTTACGGAGTGAATTCTGTCCCCCAAAATTCATGTGAAAGCCCTGACCACCCCCGACCCACCGTCTGACTATATTTGGAGATAAGGCATTTTAAAAGGTAACTAAGGTTAAATGAGGTTATGTGGGTGGGGCCCTACTTCAACAGGACTGGTATCCTTATAAGAAGAAGAGACAGTAGGGGTGCCCATACACAGAGGAATGGTCATGTGAGGACACAGCAAGAATGCAGCTATCTGCAAGTCAAAGAGAGGTCTTCAGAGAAACCAGCCTTGTCAGCCCCTTGATCTTGGACATCCAGCCTCTAGAACTATGAGAAAATAAATTTCTGTTGTTTAAGTCCCACAGTCTGTGGTATTTTGTTACAGAAGTCCTAACAGACAAATAATACCTCTTTATCTCGGAATCCTTAATCACACTGCAAAGAGCTCTTTCCCAAATAAGGTAACATTTATAAATGCCAACGATTAGGACTTAATATGTTTGAGTTGCTGTTATTCAACATACACTGAAAATCATGGACACAAGCCGTTAACTCATTTCTCCTCCTGGGGAGAAATGGATAAGGAGAGAGACAAGAAGTGAGGGCTGTAATAACTTGCTGATCTAGTCGTAGTCCTGGGAATATGAGGAGCAGGCAGTGAATGCTCCCCCAAATGTCTCCCACAAACCACTGGTGCACCAAAAGTTTTCTGTTTATTTATATCCATTTGGAGAACTCCTAACCTGATGCCTGACATAGTAAGTACTTAGTAAATAATAGGTGCCCTCCCTGATTAAGCCCATTACTAAAAATCTGCTGAACCAGGTCCTCTTTCTCCAGCACACTCACAACCACTTCCCCTTTTCAGCACACAGGCTCTGCCCACCAAATAACAAAAATGAAGGTGAGAAGACCTAGTAGAGCATGATACACGAATCTTGCCACAGAGTCAGAAATCAAGGTAGTGCATGACCAAGGCTAGAATCTACCTCCAACAGGATATACAACTGCTGAATCAGCAAATAAACATTTTTTGAACCTGGTACTTGGTACTTGGCATTGTGCCATTGATAGTAAGTCAAACAGACATGGTCCCCAGCCTGTAGCAATCAGAAGTCCAAGACAGACAGGATTGATCTGCATAGGCATGGTAAGAACAGGGCAATAGCTGTCATGTATTAACAAGGGGAGACCTGTTACAAGCTTGTGTTTGTAACACCCAAAGCACAAATTAAGTAGAAATTGCCTTTAAGTGAGTTTCTGGGAGGCTTATACATTGCACAAGGAGAGGAGTGAGTTTTTCCTGGCATAGGGACTGACTGAAATCAGGAGTGGGATCAATTATTAGTTCTGTCTCAGCACCTAAGTACCCTTTCTCCCACACCGCCTTCCAAAGTAGCCTACACAAGAATGGTGGGAATTCTATAGATTTGAGGAAAATAAATGAACCATATTTTTTAGCATCTGCTATGAGCAAAGCACTAGGCAAGCTAGAAAACACCAAGCAATACAGACTCGGCAACAAACAAGAGCATGTTGAACCCCTAAGTCGGTGTCATAGGTGCAAATAAATAGCCGATCTGCTTGCCATGTGGCCAAAACCAAAAAAAAAAAAAACCAAACCCAGGCATCCAGTCTTATGTGTACTGTTCAGTGCTTTATCTGTGTTATCTCTACCCATGAATTGGGTAGTATCATCTCCACCTTGAAAATGAGGCTGGGAGATTCAGAATGACCATCACGAGCAACTGACATTTGTTGAGCTCTTACTGCATGCTAAGCAATTTCAGTGCATTGTGTCAGGTCACTGTGTGGTAATGTGGTGGTTAAGGAAGCAGACTCAGGGAGCTAGACTGCCTGGTTCAAATCCCAGCTATACCCCCTTGACAGTGGGGTAACTGTAGGAGAGTTACCCCCATGTGCTTCAGTTGAGTTATTGGAAATGGGATAATAATACTACCTAGTTTGCAGGATTGTTAAAAAGACCAAAAGAGTGAGTACATATAAAGCACTTACAACAGTACCTATCCCATGGAGGGCACTTGGCAGACACTAGTAATCTCTGGAATAGGTATTTTTTTAATGTTAGAAATCTCTTTATTATTACTTATTCTTATTAAGCACCAGCTTAATGCTGTAGAAAATTTCAGATCACCTTTGATACCTCACTTTCTTTTCCCCCACCCGAATTCTTGATCAATAGTTTTTCAAGTGAAGACATGCTCTTCTCTCTTCTGTATAAAACTTTATGAGATAAAGGCAAAAGATTGTGTACATCTTAATGGAAAATGCTGCCCAGGGCTCTGGAGATGGTGGCTGCCCAGGCTCCCTTCACTGTCCAGGTCCTGAAAGACTCTTGTTCATGAACTGTCTCTTCACAAAGCAAGCCCACCACTTGCTGGGTTTATCATTCTGAGGGTCAAAAACTTTCTCACAAAGTCTCAGTCCAGTCTTTCTCCTTAGCTGTTGTAAATAGGCTCTCATCACTTCATCTTCCTGTTTGTTCGCAGGTTTGGCATAATTGCGTTAAGTGGAAAATGAGGCTCTCCAGGAATAGGAAAATTCGTGATTCCCAATGTATACATTTCTTTCTCACCTTGGATTTTGGAATTGTACTTTTGGAGTTTCTTCGAACACTCAGAAATGTAGAGAGTTATATATATCAAGGTCCTATCAGCTTCATTCTTAATTTCATAGTTTTTGAAGAAGACATTGGCCTTGAAGTAACAGATGGCTTCATCCACAATATCTGTATCTTTTGTCTCTCTGGGGGCAGGTCCTTTGAATTGGCTTCTGATGGGTAACAGTGCCATGTTTCCAGTGAGTTTGGTGTCAGGGTCCATGAGAGAAGATTGGTAAGCCAGCATCTTGGGATCACCTGAGTTTCAACCCAGAGCAGCAGGATCACTAGAACAGGTATTTTAGGAGAGAGGTAGCTGAGGCTTTGGAGACTTATTAATGCCCAAGGTCACACAGATAATAAGAAGAGGAGGGAGCTAGGACATGAAGCTGCTGCCTCTCTCACAGCTAATACATGGGAGAGCCAAGCTTCACATTCCAACTCTACTATGCCATACAGACATGCCTTGACTGGTGTCCTGTCCCACAGATTGTTGGTGGTAGAGCTGGGATTAGAACCCAGGCTAGCTCTAAGTTTCTCTCCTCAAATTCCCCCTCTCAAATCCCCTTCTTATTTTTGGCCTACTCTGGCTTTCCCCAGATAAGACCCTCCTAGCACAGTGAGCTCTTGAGGGCCTGGTTCTAACCACATAAATAACCAGCATCCTTGTGACCAAAGCTGCCATCAGAGCCGTTGGAGACCTGTTCTAACTTTCTGCAACTCAGCTTTGATGTTTTAAAATTACCAACCATTTTGAGAATTATATGCAAAACGTGGTGCTAAATACTGTTTAATATACAGAAAAATGACAGGTCGTTGTTCTCAAAATTTTATTAGTTAGTAGAGGAGATAAGCAGGTACCCAAATAACACAGAAGCATGAATAAGGTTGGAAGGGGAATTGGAAGGGGCTGAGTATGGTGGGACAAGCCAACCCTTCCATGGGCTCCTAGTTCTGCTGTGGGATGGTTGGGCTCACAGAGCCCATCCTCACAGAGCCTTCAGCTCTAGGGAGAGTGGGAAACAGGCTGCTTTTCAGTTCCAGTCCTGTCCCCTGAGGAGTTAGAGCATGCTGGGACCACTAGGGACCTCCCTCTAAGACTTCCGGATGGCTTCAAGGACACTGGGGTCACAGAACAACACCATTTGGCAGATGGCAGAGGCTGCCTCGGGGAAGGAGAAAGGCTGTCTCTGATGCCAAGCCAGAGATAGAAAACATTTTCTCTGAGTTAGAGAATGGGAAGCATGCCCTGATCTGTTTGGAAGAAGCAAATTGGCCTAATATACCTGTACTTCCTCATCATTTATAGGTCATAACCCCTTTTGAACTACGGACCAATGCTGCAGAAAAAAGAACCTGGACTCATACAACACATTGCATAACTCCCATAGTTTCTCAGATGCTTTGGAAGCCATGTATGGATTCCCAGTGGGTCCATAAACCCTAGGTTAAACATTGCTACATGAGGTGGTTTTTAAAAATGTCTGCAGAGGAATTTTTAGGGCACTGAAACTATAATGGTGGATACATGTCATTATGCATTCCCATGAAATGTACAACATCAACAGTGAACGCTGATGTCAACTGTAGACTTTGGGTGATGATGCATCAGCGTCAGTTCATCAATTGTAACAAATGCACCATTCTGGTGGGGGATGTTAATAATAGGGGAGGCTGTGCATTTGTAGGGGCAGGAATTATATGGGAAACCTCTGTACCTTCCTCTCAGTTTTGCTGTGCACCAACCACTGCTCTAAAAAATGAAATCAGCCAGGCATGTCAGCTCACACCTGTAATCTCAGCACTTTGGGAGGTCAAAGCGGGAGGATCACTTAAGCTCAGGAGTTTGAGACCAGCCTGGGCAACAAAGTGAGAAGGTGAGACTTTATCTCTTACAAAAAAAATTTTTTTAAACTTAGCCGGGTGTGTGGTGCACACCTATACTATAGACCCAGCTACTTGGGAGGCTGGGGTGAGAGGATCAGGATCATTTAAGCTCAGGAGTTTAAGGCTGCAGTAAGAGTACAGTGATGGTGCCACTGTACTCTAGCCTGGGTGACAGAGCGAGACCCAGTCTCAAAAAAAAAAAATATATATATATATAGATATATACATATATACAAACACACACACACACACATACATATGTATATGTATAATGAAGTCTGGTTTTTGTTTTGTTTTGTTTTGTTTTAAGATACAGGGCCTCGCTATTTTGACCAGGCTGGTTTCAAACTCCTAGGCTCAAGTGATCCTCCCACCTCAGCCTCCCAAAGTGCTGGGATTACAGGGTGAGCCACTGCACCTGGCCGAAGTCCACTTTTTAAAAACAGTGGTGGCAAATTATTTGATACTCCTCTCATTCAAAGATAAATTCTATGCCCCTCATCTTGAATTTGGGCAAGCTTGTGACTGCTTCTACCAATAGACCATGGCTTCCAAAGCTAGTGCATAAAAGTCCATGCAGCTTCTACCTGATTCACTTAGGCTCGCTTCAGGGATACTCCCTCTCAGAACTCAGCTCCATGCCAGATGGAGTGTTGCGGGAAGTCAGGAACCCTGAACAGAGGGACTGGCTGAAGCCATGGCAGAAGAACATAAATTGTGAAGATTTCATGGACATTTATTAGTTCCCCAAATTAATACTTTTATAATTTCTTATGCCTGTCTTTACTGCAATCTCCGAACAAAAATTGTGAAGATTTCATGGACACTTATCACTTCACCAATCAATACCCTTGTGATTTCCTATGCCTGTCTTTACTTTAATCTCTTAATCCCATCATCTTCGTAAGCTGAGGAGGATGTATGTCACCTGAGGACCCTGTGATGATTGCGTTAACTACACAAATTGTTTGTACAGCATGTGTGTTTGAAAAATATGAAATCTGGGCACCTTGAAAAAAGAACAGGATAACAGCAATGTTCAGGGAACAAAAGAGATAACCTTAAACTCTGACTGCCAGTGAGCTGGGTGAAACAGAGCCATATTTCTCTTCTTTCAAAAGCAAATGGGAGAAATATTGCTGAATTCTTTTTCTCAGCCAGGAACATCCCTGAGAAAGAGAATGTGTCCCTGAGGGGAGGCCTCTAAAATGGCCGCTTTGGGGGTGGCTGTCTTTTACGGTCATCGCAGTGGGATGAAATAAGCCCCGGTCTCCCATAGCACTCCCAGGCTTATTAGGATGAGGAAATTCCTGCCTAATAAATTTTGGTCAGACCGGTTGTCTGCTCTCAAACCCTGTTTCCTGATGAGATGTTATCAGTGAAAATGCCTGCCTGAAACTTCATTAGTAATTTTAATTTCACCCCGGTCCTGTGGTCCTGTGATCTCGCCCTGCCTCCATTTACCTTGTGATATCTTATTACCTTGTGAAGCATGTGATCTCTGTGATCCACACCCTATTCGTACACTCCCTCCCCTTTTGAAAATCACTAATAAAAACTTGCTGGTTTTATGGCTCAGGGGGCATCATGGAACCTGCTGATGTGTGATGTCTCCCCCAGACACCCAGCTTTAAAATTTCTCTCTTTTGTACTCTTTCCCTTTATTTCTCAGACCAGCCGACACTTAAGGAAAATAGATAAGAACCTATGTGAAATATCGGGGGTGAATTTCGCCCAGTAATGTAGAGGCTATATGGAGGCACTGTGTAGGCAGTCCCAGCTGAGCTCAGCTTCTATGGGTTGAACTGCGTCTCCGCAGAAATGTTAAAGACCTAATCCCCAGTATCTGTGAATGTGACCTTATTCGGAAACAGGGTTTTGCAGATGATCAGGTGAGGATAAGGTCATTAGGGTGGGCCCTAATCCAAAATGATGGGTGTCCTTATGAAAAAAGAGGATGTGGGCACAGAGACAACACACACACAGAGAAAGAACATCGTGTGGAAATGAAGGCAGAGATCAGGGTGACTCCTCCATAAGCCAAGGAATGCCAAACGTTGCCAGCCAATGACCAGGAGATAGAAAAGAGGCATGAAACAGACTGTTCCTTCCTGACCTCAGAAGAAATCAACTTTGCCAACACTTTCATCTTAGACTTCCAGCTTCCAGAACTGTGGACAATAAATTTCTGTTGTTTTAAGCCATCCAGTTTGTGGTACTTCATTATGAAAGCCTTAGGAAACTAACTCACCGTCCTAGGAGTGATTCCTGCCCAGATTCCAGTGCAAATGAAGATGTTATCTCAGAAGAGCATGCTGCAGAACCCAGACATTTGAGTCCCCTGCAGCCATTCAGGTCTTCCCAGCTGAAGCCACAGACATCTTACGGTGGAGGCAAGCCATGGCTACTGTGCCCTGATTGAATTTCTCACCCACAGAATCCATAAACTTAATAAAACGGTGGTTGTTTGAGGCCACTAAGTGTAGGGTTGTTTGTTACTCAGCAATGGTTAACTGGAACACTACTTGAAACTCTGATCTCTGACCAATCTAAATTACGTCCTCTTCCTTCCTTATCTGCAAAGGGGGATGGCCTAATAAATTATTTAAACTAAATGTCCATGGTAATGGCATCATAGAACCTGAGAATTAGAAGGAAACTCGATACTCCCATTTAAGCAAAAACAAATTACCCACAGTCCCAGCTTCATTCAAATCAAACAGCTTTCATTTTTCCCTTTCAATCCTTGTGCATACATAATTTGCACATAGTTTATTCAAGATTCATGCAACATAGTTAAAATCAGAGTAGACGTAATTTTGGAGTCTGCTTTTTCCACTTGCAATTTATCACAGCATTTCAATATTGCTATATAGTCTTTATATTACTTTAATTGCAAAAATTTTTAGAAGTGATTGTACTTCAATTTACTCAATCATTGTCTTTTTGAACAACATAGAAGTTTTGATGTGAATCTTCTTTAACTGCAATATTTTAATTATTGTTCTAAATTAGGGGTCAGTAAACTATGAGCCTGTGAGCCAAACTACCCACCCTATTTTTCTACTGCCTGTGAGCTAGTAAGTTTCTTAAGTTTTAAATGATCAAAAAGATTTAAAATAATATTTTAACACACTAAAAAATTATGTGAAATCCCTAATCCAGTATTTATAAAGTTTTGTTGGAACACAGCCATGCCCATTTAGTTACATAATGTCTGTGGTTGCTTTCACAATACAATGGCAGAGTTAAGTGGTTGCAACAGAAACAATGACCCACAGAGACTAATATAATTACAGTCTGGCCCTTTACAGAAAACATTTGTCAACTCCTATCCTTAATTTACATCAAACCACCTGCCTCAGAGATTCCAACCTGTCGTTGGCTTCCTTCATGATTTTGGACTTGCCAACCCCCACAATCACATAAGCCAATTCCTTCAAATCAGTCTCTTTGTATATATGATCTCCTGGTTCTGTTTCTCTGGAGAACCCTGACCAACACAGCATCTAACATGCTTTTGTAGAATTAATAAAGCTGTACTGAAGGAGAAAGATCCTGAATGTTCAGGAGTGCTGCTGGGCCGTGAGGGATTGCCTTAGATGGGCCTAGCACACTATACACATGGAAAGAGCCTGAGCTTGGTGTCTGATTCGGTTTGATCACAAGGAAGAGAAATCCACTCAGACTAGGCAGAGTTGAAGACTTATTGGAAGGATACAGAGATGCTCCCAGAATCCAAGGGCAGGAAGCAAAGCAGGGTCTCACAGGACTCAGACATCACCAGGTGGCTTCTCTTTCATCTCTCTGATTCTGAGACTACAGAGTCCCTCTCTCTTTCCACATATCCCTTGCTCTCTCCAATGGAAGGCCAAGTTTTTCTGCTCACCCACAGACCCCCATGGCCTCAGGACTCTGTGGCATCACCACTGCCTTGACCTTCATTGTCTAACTGACTCCATTTCTCAGTCTTCCAATTATAAACTCCCAGGACAGAGATCTGATTGCCAGGAGCCTGCCATATACCCCTGGTCCACAGCTATAGGCAGCCAAGGGTCGTGTGGCACAAACATGACACCTTCCCCACCACCGCTAATTAAGTAGAGGATAAGAGTGTCCATTTCACAAAAAGAGTGCTCCAAAATATGTCTACCGCAGACCTGATACCACCCTATCTTAGTATGCTAAGGCTGCTATAGCAAATACCACAGTTGGGGTGGCTTAAACATAAATTTCTTTCTCACCATTCTGGAGGCTGGAAGTCCAAGATCAAAGTGCCGGAAGGGTCACATTCTCCTGAGGCCTCTCTTCTTGGCTTGCAGAGAGCCACCTTCTTGCTGTGTCCTCACACAGCCTTTCTTCTATGTGTGCGCATCCCTGGGGTCTCTTTCTCTCCTTGTAAGGACACTGGACTTACTGGATTAGGGCCCCACCCTAATGGCCTCATTTAATCTTCATTACCTCTTTAAAAGCCTTCCCTCCAAATACAGCCACACATCAAGTACTGGGGGTCGGGGCTTCAATACATGAATTCTGGGGGGCACCTATGATGGTGAGTTTGATGTGCCACTTGGGCTAGGCTGCAGTAGGTCGTTATTCAGGCACCTTTGATAGCACACCCCTTCGGCCAGGGGATCCTCAGTAATTTACTTTTTTAAAAAGTGGGGACAATATTGCCTCATACAATTTGTGTACAGACTGGAAAAGGGGATGAGTATAGAACATAAATGATAGCCATTATGATCATTATTATTTCTCCCAAACAGGCAGGCAGGGCACCCACTTCCTGTGCTTCTGAACCACTCTTGCTTTGTGTCGGATGGCTTTGCTCTTGCCCTCTTCTGTCCTGGGTTAATCGTGGCGTATTCACACCTTACATGGGATAAGTAGGGTATTTTAACCATCAATTCTATTATCCAGTTATGTTAATGGTCCGTGAAATAACATGTGAAGAGCCCATTAAACATTGTGAAAGAGTCTCCATTTCATAAAAATGAGGGAATAATAAGAGAGGCCAATGTAATTCACTGCTGAGCAGGGGAGAGGTTGACTTTCATCTTCAGATGCCCTTCTAAGAGAAACAACTTTCATAACTTAGAACTCAGCATTTCAAAAGAATTTGGGGAATGGCTGACCCTTCTAGGCATTCACCAACAGGATGTTTCTGACCAAGAAATAATTAAAAGTGTATGGAAAGAAACACAGGAAAGACATTTAATAGCTTGTAGTTGAGATGAATTTTGATCTAAAATGTTAATTTTTTTCTTTCAACACTCTATCCTACCCTCTGAGTCCTACTTAATTGCCCAACTACAGTCTGTCAGTCTTGTGTATAACCTGCTTAGAAAAGGCTGAAAGGTAATTGCATAAACAACTTCCACCTAGATCCTCCTCCTGTTCTGAGCCTAATACCAGCCCTGCCCCCAAGCTCTCAGGAACCTCAGGAACAATGGACTCTAATCCATGCCTACGCATGAATCTCTGAAGGCCATCTCTTCATTTCTTCAGACTGTTTTGTCATAGGTTTATAGATTTCCTGGAATACTTTCCACACTTGGCTTCTGAGACATCACACTCTCCTGGATTTCCTTGTATTTCCTGGGCCAATACTTCTCAGGTACCTTTGCTGGTTTCTCCACACCTCCCCGATCCTTATCACTGGAGACCTCAGGAGCAGGGTTTGGACTTCTTTTCTGTTTCTACAACCATGCCTTACATCCAGTCTCACGGCTGTAAATGCCATTTATAAGCTGACGTCTTCCAGATCTAGCTCTTGCCTGGACTCTAGACTCATATGTCAGCTGCCCACTGAAGTGCCTAACAGGCATCTGAAATGTTAACTTTCTCAAAATCAAACTCCTGATCTTCCCCCAAAACCTGCCGCATCTACACTGTTTCCCATCTTAACATCAACTGCATCCTTGCAGTTTCTCAAGCCAAGAGTTCTTCATTCATTTTTCTTTTCATTCTTATCTCCCAGTCCGACAGCAAATCCTGTCAACTCTACCTTCAACATATACCTTGAGTCTTGCCACTGTTTACCACCTTCACTGCTGGGATCTTGATCCAAGCTACCATCATTTCTCATCTTGACTATTTTTTTATTTAATAGAGATGGGTCATGTCATGCTGTGCAGGCTTGGGTGCAGCAGCTATTCACAGATGTGATCATAATGCACTATAGCCTCGAACTCCTGGGCTTGAGTGGCCCTCCCACCTCAGCCTTCATCTTGAGTATTGCTCTGCCTTTGTTCCATCTTAGACTATTCTTTACCCAGTAGTCAGAGAGATCCTTTAGATCATAATCAGACCATGTTGCTCCTCTACTCAACTCATCAATGGCAGCCATTTCCCATAGAGCAAAAGCCAGGATCTGTCCAGTGACCTCCGGGCCCTGAAGGATTGGGCCTCCCTGCCATCCATTCTCTCACTTCATCTCCTCTCCCCTCCTTCACTCGCTCTAGTCACACTCACCTTTTTGCTGTTCCTCCACCCATGCCAGGCATGCCCCTCTCTCATATGTTTACTGTTTCACCAGCCTGGAAGACATTTTCCCCAGGCAGCCACATGGCTGGTTTCCTTACTTCCTTTTAAGGCCTGGATGAAATGTTACCTTCTCTGTGTGGCATTCTCTGGCCATGCTATTTAAAATGACAGCCAACTTCCCAATCTGTACCAGTACTTCCTGTCCCCCTTCCCTGCTGCGTTTTCTCTGTGGCCTTGATCATCATTCGACACACTAGATGTTTTCTTGCATGTTCTATCTCTGTCTCAACACTGGAACCCCAGGAGGGCAGGGCTTTGTCTATTTTGCTCACTTCTGTATCTCTAGCCCCAAAAACAATTTAATCTGTTGTACGAATATACAAATGATTGTTCCTGCTGGAAAATTTTCAAACCACCTCACATTACAGCTGAGAAAACTGAGGCAAAGCCAATGACAGTTTGCCAAATATCACATAATTTGTTAATGGCAGAGTTGAGAGTAGAGCCCAGTTTTCCTGACTCAGAGTCTAGCCTTCCATCAAGTAAAACATCCTCTATCTTCTGTCCAAATGGATTTTACAATTTTGTGGAACACAAATCATGGTTTCAAATTTCTCTCTAATCATGATACCCAGCACAGTTCAAAGTAATTATAGATGATGTTTAAAAATATTAATTTCAGGGTCACTGAACCAGTGACAAATCCAAATAGTTAAGAGCATTATGGAAGAACTTGTGTTTCCTTAACTTTTATTTTAAGTTCAGGGGTACATGCGCAGATTGATTATATAGGTAAATTGCATGTTGGGGGAGTTTGGTATACAGATTAGTTCATCAACCCAGGTAATAAGCATAGTACCTGATAGATAGTTTTTTGATCCTCACCCTCCTCCTACCTTCCACCCTCAAGTAAGCCCTGGTGTCTATTGTTCCCTTCTTTGTGACACGTGTACTCAATATTTAACTCCCACTTATAAATGAAAACATGCAGTATTTGGTTTTCTGTTCCTGCGTAAGCTTGCTTTGGATAATGGCCCCCAGCTGCATCTATGTTACTGCAGAGGACATGATCTCATTCTTTTCTATGGCTACATAGTATCCCATGGTGTATATGTACCACATTTTCTTTATCTAGTCTACCATTGATGGGCATTTAGGTTGATTCCATGTCTTTGCTGTTGTGAATAGTACTGCAATGAACATACACAGAATGCGTATTTAGGGTAGGATGATTTATATTCCTTTGGGTATACTCAGTAATGGGATTGCTGGGTCAAATGATAGTTCTGTTTTAAGTTCCTTGAGAAATCACCAAACTTCTTTCCACAATGGCTAAACTAATTTACATTCCCACCAGCAGTGGATAAGCTTTCCTAAAGGGACTTTTTCCCACTGAGTTTTAGAGTACAAGCCACTGATTCCTGAGCCACTTTCTAACAGAGGAGATGATAGTAATACCAATGATAGCCACCATGAGAGTGCCCACCAAATGCCAGGTCCTTTGTGTATACTACTGCATTTAATTTTTACAACAACCTCTAAGGAAGATATTATTGTTATTCCCATTTTACAGATAAATAAATTGAGGCACAGTGAGGTTAAGTAACATGTCCAACTCCACATAATGAAAAGCAGAGATGGGGTTTGAGGTCATATTTGTCTGACTTGAAGTCCATGTTCTGAACCACTGCCCTGTACTGCTTCCCATCCATATGTCCAAATGGACAAAAATTTTCAAAGGCCACTCAGCAAGGAGTACTTGATTCTGAGTTTTCTATGACAGCCTAAATCCTGTTATTTCATTCTAGGTGCAGAGCACATGGGAAACTACCATTGCCCACTGGGAGGTAGCCCTTCTGGTAATCCCTGTGCCATCTGGAAAATACTGACTGCAAAGCAAAACCTCTCACCACTAGCTTAAGCAATTAAATATTAGGAAGTCCACATGAAATAGAGAGAAGAGCACAGAACTCTTCACTATTCATGGGGGAGTCATAGACCCAGGATGGGAGAGGATTGGTGGGAAGTGAATGAACTACCATTCGTTAAGGTGTCAACAGTTGTGCTAGTCACTTAACAGGTATTATTTTGTTTATTCCTTATAACAACCTTTCAAAGTGGCTATCACTGCAGTATTCTCTTTCTACAGATGAGAAAACAGAGGTTGACAGATATATCTTGGCCGGGCGCAGTGGCTCACGCCTGTAATCCTAGCACTTTGGGAGGCCTAGGCGGGCAGATCACCTGAGGTCAGAAGTTTAAGACCAGCCTGGTCAACATGGTGAAACCCTGTATCTACTAAAAATAAAAAAATTAGCTGGGCATGGTGGCGCACGCCCATAATCCCAGCTACTCGGGAGGCTGAGGCAGGAGAATCGCTTGAACCTGGGAGGCGGAGGCTGGAATGAGCTGAGATGGCACCACTGTGCTCCAGCTTGGGTGACAGAGCAAGACTCCGTCTCAAAAAAAAAAAAAAAAAAAAAAAAAAAAAGAAAGATATGTCTTGAACAAGGTCATCCAGCTGTCGGAAGAGGAAGGCTTTGAACACAGATAAATATGATTTCAAAGCCAGCAGACATTCCCTCATCTCTGCTGAGCAAGCCAACTTTCTGAGCCTCAGTTTCCTTGTATGACAGGAGAAGGTTGTATCAGAGGTTCTCAAAGCTTTAACATTCTATTGCTCCAGTTTTCACCTAGCAGGCACAAAGACCTTTAAAGGCCTTTAGGTTGATGGAAAAATGAAAGTCATTGCCATTTCCTAACAGGGAAGACAGGCATGACAATAAGTAATTGGTTTAGTCTAATTGTGATGTATACACTGATGAAAGCCTGTATAAAACACAAAAGGATGGAGTGATTCGTACTCTCTTGGTGGGCAACACAAACCCTGCCAGACCTTTCAGTTCACAGAACAAGTGAAGTCACACAAACAGAGAGCCCAGCTGCCATCTTTGTTCAATTGCCAAGCCAGTGGCAACCATTCCCATCCTGCCTGTTATGGTGCCTCCTCCTTTCTCCCAGCTGCCAAGGAGCAGATGTCTACAGAAATGGGTCATGGGATTGGGACATTTGGAAGGTGAGAAGAAGGAGGAATAAGAACATATTATAAAGTACCATTAATGATGCTCAAGTGCAGTGAACTTCAGGCAGGTTGCTAGTGAAGGGAAGATGGCCAGGGCAGGACCCAGGGGTACAGAAAGCATATTGGCAAGAGAGCACTAATGGGCAACTGTACACACTTCCATGCAAGCCTTGAGATGGTTGGGTGTCAGAGTCAGGGAGCTTGGTGAAGCGAAGAAGGGGAGATGGGAAAATTAACAAAGCAAAATAAGATAGCAACCACGATGCTAAACTTGTAGCAAAACATGCCTTTATGAAGATCCTAGTGGACTGTGCTAAGTCGAGGTGATGTCTAAAAGAATCAATGCTGAGCGTCTGTGGGACTATGGGCCTCTTTTACAACTGGGGATGAAAATGTTGGCAAACACACCCTTTTCTCATACCCTTTGGAATGCTTACAGAATAGTGGTGCCAACAGTTGGGTCTGTGTTGGAAGTTCAGTCGACATTTGTACAGTGGAAGAATGACAATGAAGCATCAGTTCCACAGGCTTATCTATCCAGAGGGCCATTTGTGTTCTTATCTTGGAATAGACAGCGGTGTTTGGAATTCTGTTGGTTTCCAGGACATTGCCCAGTGAGGCGTAAAGAAAGGGAAGAATTTTATTCCTGAAAGGTGTGTCCCTGGTACATGTTTTCAGAGAAGGACCCTCTGAGTCTCTCCTTCCCATGGTATGGGCAGAAAGCTGGTGTGAGGAACACATGCATACAGCGGATAGAGACAAAAATCTGTTCAATTTTAAAAAAAGATTTGATTGTGTGACTCACATTTAAGTTCACTCCACCACATTCCGGGCAACTTCTGTGTATCTTGGTATCAGCAGGAAGCAGAAACACTTAAATGATGCAAAAAATACCTTAAGGATTAAAGAAGAAAGCCTGAGCCAGCAGGGCAGAGGAACTGATGGAAGCCAGATGACCAGAACACACAAGGAAGGGGCCCCCGCTGGCCTGCAGCCCTGCATTCTCCCAGGGAGACCTGGTACAGCTTTATATCTGTGGCTGGCAGGCCCTTCCAAGTGGTCTGGCCTCTGAGCTTGAGTTCAAGAATGAAACCTTTCTTCTCAAGAAGGCCCAAATGGCATCTCCTTTAAAGCTGGAACAACCCAGGAATATGTCAACAACTCTTTTTCAATCTACAACCCCAGGTCACAAATGCCCAACCTTCCATCTTGGTGATACTGACATGTACCCATTGAGAAAGTCAAGATTCATCATTAGTCTACCTTGGGTCAGCCCATTTCATAACAGAACTATATGTGTTTGCTAGGGCTTCCATAGCCACGTATCGCATACTGAGTGGCTTAAATCAGAAATTTATTCTCTCACAGTTCTGGAGGCTGGAAGTCTGAGCTCTAGGTGTCGTCAGGACTTTGTCCCCTCTGAAGGTGCCAGAACAGGACTGAGTTTGTTCTAGACCTCTCCCAGCTTTGAGCATTTCCTCTGCGTGTGTCAGCATTACTCCAATCTTCACGTGGTGCTCCCATTTCTATGTGTTTGTGTTCAAATTTCCCTTTTCTATTTAGGGCCCACCCTACTCCTCCAGTAGGACCTCATCTTAACTTAACCAATTACATCTGCAACAACCCTTTTTCCAAATAAGATCACAGTCTGCAGTATTGGGGGTTAGTCAGCTTTGGTTGAAAATCCAATATACGAGTTTGATGTGGGGTGGGGTGGATAAATTTAACTCATAACAAAAACATTGAATTTATTTCCTGGTTTGAGAAATTATTTAAAATTCATAAGATAAACCCACCATAACAAAAAAATTGGGGTTCTGTTTAAAAAGAGAATAAATGTGGCACAAGGTCTTAGTAATAAGAAAGATACAGGGAAAGTCACAGACCCTAGGGTATCAGTAAAAGAACAACTCAGTCCCTCCTCCTTCCACCCCTGGGTAAAGGTAACAAACATCATCAGTGTCTTTAACAGAAAGGGAGGGTTAAACTTCACATTTTGAAATACGGGCTAAGTGTAAGAGTCAGCAAACTGTGGCCTGTGGGTCAAATCTAGCCCTCCATCTGTTTTTGTAAATAAAGTTTTATTGAAACACTGCCTCACCCATTTGTTTACATATTGTCTGTGGCTGCTTTTGCATAATAGCAGCAGAGCTGAGTTGTTGCAATAGAGACCATGTGACCCACAAAGCCTAAAACATTTACTATCCAGTCCTTTACAGAAAAACTTCACCAACATCTGGACTAGTACAAGGCAATGCTTAGAAAAACAACAGTCCTAGAGAAAAGGGAAATTCTAAGGCGGTAACACAGCATGGCTATTAGGGAGCATCTGAGGCCTGGGGACTGGCAGGAAAGGTTGGATAGAGCTCATGAGGATTGTACTGCCTTCCTCAAACAGGCAGAGGAGCAAGCTCTTCAAAGGCTAATTCTTGGGGAACAAATATTCCAGGTCAGCAGACACTGGGTTCCTCTCTTTCCAGTCATGGAAGGTGTAGCAATAGTCTATTTTCCCCAAGGCAAGGCAATTCTCTGCTAGTTACAAAATCCTTTTGCTTGGGGGATCTAATGTCTAATAAAACAACTTCACCTAATCAGGATTTGGAAAGAGGAGTCTGGCCCTTTTGGCCCTGTGTCTTCCTGAAAGTTCTGAGTCCCACCACGCACTTCAGGGCAATGGTTCTGAGCCCACTGCAGTGGTTCATGGGGGCTGCTCTCAGAGGCGCTTTCCCCAGTCCTTTGGGAGACAAGAAAATAAAGTGGGGCTTTCATCACATTATTTTATTCCATTCACAACGCTATCCTTTATTCTGAACCATGCCCTCCACCTTCGGAGTTCGAGCATGGCACATCTCCTGTGAAATGGTGGTGAAAGTAGTTGATCACCGATTATTTATTTTCTCTTATCCTCATTGGATGAAATTAAAAAGTGGCCAGCCCAACTTACTTTTTGTTTTTCCTTCTGAAAATGTATAAGCCCTAAATATTCAAACATCTGGGAAGCATGACTCTGGGCAGGGCCTATGGGCCCAGCTTTCCCTGTGTGGGGCACCAGCCTGTGGAGAATGGATGCCTCAGGTGACTTTTCTCCAGCAAATACGCTGCTCCAGAATGGCTGGAAATTCCCTTTCCCTTCTGTGTGGTCTCCCCCTTTGCCTGTAAGTCACAGACACCCAACTGGAGTTAGCTGACACAAAAAAAGGAAAATGGCTCACATAATCAAACTGCTGAAGAGACAGGGGCAGAGTGGGCTCCGGGCCCCCATGAACCCGGCTCTCCAGGCCCCCAGGACCTCCATGTCCATGTCCTGTCTCCTGTTCTTTCTCTCCTCCATCATCATTTTCTCCTGAAGGAGAGGCATGGCTGTTAGCAGCCCCCGGCTTCCTCCCTGCAGCTCCCTGAAGGGAGAGAAAAAATGGTGGGTTCTAGTCCGCTTTGGTTGAAAAATCCCAGGGAGAGGCGTTGGTTGGCCTGGCTTGAATTACATAGCTGTTCCTGAACCAAAGGACCATTATGACCCAGACAGTCGGATGCCCCTCACTCCCCCAGGGTCTTTATGTCTCCTCAGTGAGGCTTCTCTGCCCACCCACTTAAATTGTACCCCTCAACCCCCAAGAAATCGCTGTCTCTCCTTATCCTACTCTATTTTTTTCCATAGCATTTATTGTCTTCTGACATACTAATTTGCTAAGATTTCTGTCTAGCTCCTCCCACTATAATGTAAGCTCCAGAAGGCAAGGATTATTGTCTATTTTGCTTATTAATATACCCTAGTGTTGGCCGGGCGCGGTGGCTCAAGCCCGTAATCTAAACACTTTCGGAGGGTGAGGTGGGTGGATCACTTGAGGTCAGAAGTTTGAGACGAGCCTGATCAACATGGTGAAACACCATCTCTACTAAAAATATAAAAATTAGCCGGTGTGGTGGCATGTGCCTGTAATCCCAGCAATTCAGGAGGCTGAGACATGAGCACAAGAATCACTGAACCTGGAAGGCAGAGGTTACGGTGAACTGAGATCACACCACTGTATTCCAGCCTGGGAAACAGAGCGAGACTCGGTCTGAAAACAAAACAAAACAAAAAATAAAAAAAAATATATATATATAGTGTAAATATATATATACACATTCCCTAGTGCCTGGTGCACAGCAGCTTCATAAATATTTGTGGTGGAATAAAGAAATGAACAGTCTTGATGGTCAGTCTCCTCGCACTAGAATGTAATCCTCCCATTAGAGCAGGGATTTTGATTTTTTTTTCTTTTTGTTCAGACAGGGTCTCACTCTGTCACTCAGGCTGGAGTGCAGTGGTGCAATCACGGCTCACTGTAGCCTCAACCTCCCAGGCTCAAGCAATCCTCCCACCTCAGCCTCCTGAGTAGCTGGGACTACAGGTGCAGACCACCATGCCTGGCTAATTTGTTGTACTTTTTGTAGAGATGGGGTTTTGCCATGTTGCCCAGGCTGGTCTCAAACTCCTGGGCTCAAGCTATCCTCCCACCTTGGTCTCCCAAAGTGCTAGGATTACAGATGTGAGCCACCACGCTGGCCAGGATTTTGATTTTTGTTTGTTTGTTTTTTTCCCTAGACAACAGATACATCCTAGTGCCTAGAATAGTGCCGCACCCAGCACCCAGAGGACTGTCAATGAATATTTGTTGACTTTGATGAATGAATGATTCCCTGTGGCTGTGGAGATGGCCCAATCAAAGCATTTTATCTCCATGGCTACAGTAACTCATTGATTCCCTTCCCAGAAGTGGAGCTCTGCTGTGGCTAATAAATATCCACTACATTTTCCTAACTTGGAGTGAACGTGGGCCCGAATGTAAAGCTCCAATACGTATAAGGTTAGAGCTTGGCACAAAGCAAGAAAACACAGCTGCCCATATGAACCACAGTAAAGTGAGGATGAGTACAATTGAGCTAGAGTTGACAGGCATACCTGACAGAAAACACCAGGCTTTAAAGCCAAACTCTGATCTTATGGGTACTTCTTTTAGCTTGCCGGGATCCTCCTGCACTTTTCTTAACCTTGCATTTCTAGAAAAATGCGGGTTTCAATTGATGAGCAAATATTAAGTGGTATATTTCTCTGGGTATGCACTAGCCTTCATACTTTCTGTCATAGACATTACAATTTTCTTCAATTTTTAAAAATGTCCATATGCAAACCTTCTATTAAACCAAACCTTTGATCTCCCCATACTCTGAATGCCTCCATATGACGTGTTACCATGGAGATGTTCACATATACCTCATTTAATTGTGTAAACAGCATACAGCTCTGTCCATCTTAATCTCATCAATACACAGTTTCATTTTTCCCCTTTTCTGCTGTAAGTTTTGATCTTGCTTTAGGTGAATTTAGAACACCATGCTTAAGGGCTCAGGTGTTTCAAGTAAACAAAGAAATTAAATTTCTCTTGATGAATTTACTAGCCTCCTCCTGTCCAATATTCAATTAATTCAGATGTAGAAGAAACCCTTTAACACGCTGGAATGTGAATTCATAAGGAGATCAGAGTTTCAATTTCAATGTAATTATCTGAAACTTAAGAATGGCTTATTAGAGTTAAGATGACAAAAAATTAACATTTTTAAAGTAAGAGGTATTCCCTGGGGACAGAATCACAAGAATATTAGATGGCTTCCATAGCAGCTCTTAAACATAACCAGACAACTCAAACTGTTTAGTGTTCTAATTTATCTTTGAGTAAGGCTGCAAGATAAAATATAATATTGGGGACATATCCTACTAAAAATTTATTTGCAGTTTATCTGAAATTTAAATTTAAGTGGGCATCTCGTATTTTTATTTGCAAAACCTGGCAACTCTATTTTATGAGGCATGATTGACCACCAAATACTTCATAAGCCATTCAACATTTTCCTAATTACCAGGAAACACTAAGGAGTCTCTGTTAGGAGAAAAAAGGAGAGATGCCACCCAGAAACCAATGGGTCTGCCGAGGCTTGAAAAGGCCCGGCTCAGATCTTGGGTGCTGGTTCCTCAGCACAATACAGGACCCCTAAAACTTGGCATAGCAACTGAAGACCCTATATATCCAGTTTCATGCAGCGTGGAGTGGGGAAAATAGTTGCAACCTCAAACCTGGTGGTCTTAAGGCCTAGTGGCTAAGTGGTCTTTTAATGACACGGAACTTTTTTCTGATGCATATTGTCCCTCTCTTCTAATGTTGGTTATATGAACATGAGACAGGGAAATACTGGGCAGAAGTGGGCGATTCTCCAGCAAAGCCCCCACCCTCAAGCCTGAATACCCACAGCCCCAAATGAGGACAGGCATTCCTGCTTTTGTGCCCAAACCTGCCTTTTGGCCCACCATTCCCCCTATCCTGTATCTATATAAAGCCCAGACCCCAGAAGAAGAGAAGGAGACAAGCAAATGAACAGAAGAGCAGAACAGTGCAGCAGAGAGAAGAAAAGACATGTCTGAAGGCCAAGAGGAGTTTAGCTGTGGATGATTGGAGAGGAAATCAGCTGCTGGATGGCCAAATTTCAGGGGAAGATCATCTTTCCACTCCATCCCCCTTCCAGCTCCCGATCCATCCCACTGAGAGCCACTTCCACCACTCAATAAAACCCCTGCATTCATCCTTCAAGTCCTTGTGTGACCCAATTCTTCTGGGATGCTGAACAAGAGCTTGGGATACAGAAAGCTGTCACACTGGCCCTGTGCCCTTGCAAAAAGGCAGAGGGATCACTGAGCTGCTTAACACTTAAGCTGTCTGTGGACAGCAAGGCTAAAAGAGCGCACTGTAACACACTTCCATCTGGACTTTGGGAGTCACAGGCTCCCACTCCTGGATGCTGCCATGGGGCTGGAGCCCAGCACCCCAGCTCCTGCACCTGCCCATCTGTATGCTCCTCCTCCCATAAGGGGTTTGAGCAGGGGCGGCAATAGAACAGATGAGCCACACCCCTGCCACATGTCCTGTGAGGGAAGTCAGGGAACTCTCCTATTTTATCGGCAAGATAAATCATGCACAATTCTCTTAGGCTCCTGCTTCTCTTTGGCTTTGGAGTCAAGGGTTCAGAGTTGTAGCACTTACTCTGTAACTAACTTAGCGGGTGGGCTTAGATAAGTTTCTGAAACTTTTTGGCTCTAGTTGAGCCTCCCTTTCCAGTCTTTATCTATAAAATGGAAATAACACTGGCCCTATCAAACTTGGGTTGCTATTGTTCTCAAATGAGATTGTATATGAAGTAAGGTGGTACAACTGTTATACAGTATGTGCAAACATTACATGAACACAAGATGGTATTGTTGTTTATTGCCTGCTGTGATTTCCATGATTTCCATGGGTTGTTCAGTCCTGTGTGTAACAAGAAAGATCAAGGGGATCAGGGCAGGGGCAAGCTGTTTTTCAGAACAGAAAAGCCTCTTGTGTTAAACATTCAAATCTTTCTAACAGGAGCCTGGGGCCTACAGGTCTTAGGCCTGGTAAGGGAGAGCACAATATCACAGAAGCAACAACCCGTGACCATCTCAAAGGGCTGTCAGAGTTCGCTCTACAACAACCCTTTAAGATGGCCATGGGACTGACAGCTGCCATCCTCCCTGGAAACGCTATGAAGTCACCGAATTGCACTGAACACGGGACATGTAGAAGTAATTACAGCCACTGGAAAGAAACCAGGTCACTTTTCAAACCACTGATCAAATCAGTGGTTCCCATTTTGAGGCCAGGAAACAGTATATTATGGAAGACAAAAAAGGGAAAATTATCTTGGTCCACAGCACTTAAAACAGGAGGAGGGGGCAAGAAAGAGACATATTCTTGCTTCAAAGTTTTTATAAGATAAATGTTCCGTCTGCACAAAGAACCTGAAGGGAGGCCAGGAAAGATAAGGTGTTCCCACCTAATACTTGAATGCAGAGGTCTCTGTGACCTTCCTTTATCATTTGAGGGTAGGGTGCTGGTTAGGGTGCTGGCTGAGTTCCAAACTCTGATAAGAGGTTTAAGGAACAGCTCCATCAGCCCTTCAGAACTTACCCAGCCCTGTGCGTCCATGTCATCCGCCTTCAGTGTGGCCTCCCTGTTCTTCTTTCTTTCTTTATTCATCTTTACTCATAATGGTAAGCTGGAGAAAGTATGGATTTATATAGTCGCACTCATTGTGTGAAATCTTATGCTTCTTATTCTTCACTTAAAACTAAGAAATAACATTTATATCTCCCCTTAAGAAAAATTTTTCTTAAGAAAATTGGGCTGATTTTATGTCTGTGTAGTCCTTACCTGTTTTAATTTTCTCTTGGGGGACTGTGGGCCTCAGTAAAATAATCCTCTGCTTCTTGCCTTAAATAGTATATATTTCATAATTCAAATTCAAATCTTCACATTTCTCTTTCAATAACAATTATTTTTAAAATTCTGCTTTGGCAATCACTAACAATTTAGAAAATAGTCTTTTCTCTGAAATTGTCTTTTTATTTCTACATATATGTGTAAAATATATATAGAATATGTAGACTATATATACATGTATTCTTGAAAACAAACATTAATTTCAATTCCTGATAATTTGTCTAACTTGAGCTAGATGTTCTTTTTTTAAAACAAAATTATTTTTATTTTTTCTTGTGGTAAAACACTTGTAAAATTTACCATCTTAACATGTAAGTGTACATTTCAGTAGTGTTAAGTATGTTCATAATGCTATGCAAGCAATCTTCAGAACTGTTTTCATCTTACAAAACTGGAATTCTAACGACGATCCATTCACCCTCCCCCAGCTTCTGGTAACCACCATTCTACCTGCTTTCTCTATGAATTTGACTATTCTAGAAACCTCATAGAAGTGGAATCATACAATATTTGTCCTTTTATGACTGGCTTACTTAACTCAGTGGAATATCTTCATGATTCATCTATTTTGTAGCATGTGTCAGAATTTCCTTTCTTTTTAAGGCTGAATAATAGTTGAGGGTATATACCACATTTTAAATATACATTCATCATCAATGGACATTTGGGTTGCTTCTACCATTTGGCTATTGTGAATAATTCTGCTATGAACATGGATGCGCAAATATCTCTTTGACACCCTGCCTTCAATTCTTTTTTTTTTTTTTTTTTTTTTTTGAGACTGTTGCCCAAGTTGGAGTGCGGTGGCATGATCTCTACTCACTACAACTTCTACCTCCCAGATTCAAGTAATTCTCGTGCTGCAGCCTCCCAAGTAGCTGGGATCACAGGTGCCTACCACCACGCCCAGTTAATTTTTGTATTTTTAGTAGAGACAGGGTTTCACCATGTTGGCCAGGCTGGTCTTGAACTCCTGACCCCAAGTGATCCACCTGCCTTGGCCTCCCAAAATGCTGGGATTACAGGCGGGAGCCACTGTGCCTGGCCCCCGCTTTCAATTCTTCTGGGTGCATACCCAGAAGCAGAATGGCTGGGTGGTATGTTAATTCTATTTTTTATCTTCTTGAGGAATTGCCATACTGTTTTCCATAGAGGCTGTACCATCTTACCTTCCCACCATGTACAAGAGTTCCAATTTCTCCACATCCTCACAAGCACTTGTTTTCTGTTTGGAGTTTTTGTTTTTTATAGCAGCCATCCTAATGGATATAAGGTGGTATTTCATTGCGGCTTTTTTGAATTTCCCTAATGATTAGTGATGTTAAACATCTTTCAATGTGTTTTTTGGCCATTTGCATATCTTTAGAGAAAAGTCTATTCAAGTCCTTTGCCTTTTTCTTTCTTTCTTTTCTTTCTTTCTTTCTTCCTTCCTTTTCTTTTCTTTTCTTTTCCCTTTCCCTTCTCCTTTTTTCCTTCCTTTCCATCCTTCTTTCTTCCTTCCTTTTTGAGACAGGGTCTCACTTTGTCTGTCACACTCAGGCAGGAGGAGTGCAGTAGCACAATCATGGCTCATCGCAGCCTTTACCTCCCAGGCTCAGGTGATCCTCTTACCTCAGCCTCCTAAAGTGCTGGGATTACAGGTGTGAGCTACTGCATCCAGCCTCTGCTCATTTTTAATCAGGATGTTTTGTTTTTGTTGTCGATTTGTAGGCATTCTTATATTCTAAATATTAACCTCTTAGCAGAAATATGATTTGCAAATATTTTCTCCAATTCCATAGGCTTCCTTTTCACTCTATTGGTTGTGTCCTTTTGTTCATAGAAGTTATTAATTTTGATGTGCATGTATTTCTTTTCTGTTTGGTTTTTTTTTTTCAGGACAGAGTCTCACCCTGTTGGCCAGGCCGGAGTGCAGCAGCACCATCTCGGCTCACTCCAACCTCTGCCTCCCGAGTTCAAGCGATCCTCCCAACCTCAGCCTCCCAAGTAGCTGAGATTGCAAGTGTGCACCACCATGCCTGACTAATTTTTGTATTTTTGTAGAGACGGGGTTTCACTATGCTGGCCAGGCTAGTCTCAAACTGCTGACTTCAAGTGATCCACTGGCCTTGGTCTCCCGAAGTGCTGGAGTTATAGGCGTGAGCCACTGCACCTGGCCTGATGTGCATTTATTTCTTTTATAAGGAACTATGTATATTTAAGATACACTGAGTATATATACACATACACACACACACACACATACACATATAAGTGTAGTTTAGCATACACTGACTTAAGAAACTTCAGTCTTAGTATTTCCAAGACATTTCTAAAATGTCTTTTAACCACGAACTATCAAATCCTAGGACTATATTCATCATGGGACATATGCAAATATGTGTATTTCTTTCAAAGAGCAAATTCCAGGGAGCTAAGAAAAGCCCAACCACTTCTCCAAAGCCCTTCCCTATACAACTGGCAGCTTCACCCTTAAGTTCAAGATATTATTCTCAGTTAATATGAAAATATATTCAGAAGGAATAATACTAAAACTCTGTCAGAGCAAGACTCATCTCAAAAAAAAAAAAACACTCTGTCATCAGTCAGTGCAAATGAAGCATTGTAAAGGAGAATAAGGTTTTTTGCAAGAGAAAAGGAAGGAAGAAGGGCAGGAACAACCAAGGTGGGGAAGAACTAATGTAAGGCCAGCAGGGCGCAAGCTAAAAGTAAGAGCTGACATTTCTATGGTATTAATACTTACACTGTATCAGGCATTGCTCCAGGTGCTCTGCATGTATTAAGTCAGAGGTGAGGACAAGTGTTTCTATTTTATAATGAGAACGCAGAGGCACAAGGAGTTTAAGTAACTTGACTAAAGCCACACAAGTAATAAGTGACTCAGCCAAGCTTCAAAGTGATCTACCATCACTTTTTGCTCCCAAGAAGCAAAGGCCCCCCCACCTCCTGGTATTCACACCCTCTTACAGTTCCTAACCACAGTAGCTGAGCTGGTCTGTGTGACAGTAGAATACAGCAGAGGTGATGGTGTATCACTTCCAAGATTAGGTTATAAAGGCATGGTGGCTTCTGTCCTGGTGGCTGTCTCTCAGATCACTTGCTCTCGGATTAGCCAGTTGCCATGTTATGAGCAGCCCTATGGATAGGGCCATGGGGTAAGGTGGGAGAGGCATCCGGCCAACAGTCACCTGAATGAGTTTAGAAGTGGGTCTTGCAACCCCAGGCAGACCTCCAGATGTCTGTAGCTCTGGCCGACATCAACATCTCAACTACATCTCATGACACACACTGGGCCAGAACCACCCAGCTAAACCCAGACTTCTGACTTTCAAAAATTGCACAAAATAATAAACGTTTGTTGTTTTAAGCTGCTAAATGTCAGAATGAATTGTTACACAACAGTAGATAACTAATACAGTTTCTTGACCTTCTTGGCCCAATTCATAATTTTGTCCAGCGAATGTGTTTAACTGAGAATGCTGAAATACCAAACTGTTTCTCATACCTCAGTCTCATTCTCTATTAAATTAATTGTCTTGCACATCCTATTATAAAGCAATGTCACTCTTCTAGTTAGCATGACCCTTGCAATTATAGAGCACAAGCTACGATTCATACAAGATGCTCCAAGCTGTTCTTTCTTTGGGAGAAAACGTCATTTTCAAATAGCCTTTTAAAACACACCAAAATTCCCACAGTATTTGCCAATTTCAGCCCCATCCCAGAAAGTCTAGTTCACTGTCTTACTTCAAAGTAACAAATCAAAGAAATGGTTAGAAGAAACGCTGTTCTTCTTAAGAAATCTGTATTAAATATATCTTAGGTGAATGAGGGGTATTCTCATTCATGTTGTGCATAAAACATCTCAAATTGCATTACCTTAAAGCCAAAGAATAATGATTCCTAAACTATTTAACACTTTTTAGACTTAGAGGAGGGGGACACAGTGGATCTTTACTTTTTATTTTATTTTATTTTTATTGTTACTTGGATATATTGCCTAGTGGTGAAGTCTGGGCTTTTAGTGTAGCCATCACCTGAATAATGTACACTAAGTGATTTCTCATCTCTCACTGGGCTCCAGCCCTCCCTCCCTTCCAAGTTTACAATGTCTATCATTCCATACTCTATGTCCAAGTGTGTGATCTTTACTTTAAAATGTATTAAAATTTAGTCTGGGCACAGTGGCTCATGCCTGTAATCCCAGCACTTTGGGAGGCCAAGGGGGGAGGATCACCTGAGGTCAGGAGTTCAAGACCAGCCTGGCCAACATGGTGAAACCCCATCTCTAGAAAAATACAAACATTAGCCAGGCATGATGGTGGGTGCCTGTAATCCCAGCTACTCAGGAGGCTGAGGCAGGAGAACCACTTGAACCTGGGAGGTGGAGGTTGCAGTGAGCCGAGATCACGCCATTGCACTCCAGCCTAGTATATAGAGTGAGACTCCATCTCGAAAAGAAAATAAATAAAAAAAATAAAATGTATTAAAATTTACAATGTGCCTCTGGACTCCTACCGTCCTTTGAAATTTCTAGATATATTTAAGTTAAAGTTAATTAAAATTTATTTCTTTTGAGAATGTCTTAACCCTCATAGAGAGCACTGGAGACCACCTATGGTGCCTCTAGTGTTGTGATTCAGTTCTCTCTGAAATTGTTTTCTAACCACAAACAGAAAGCACTCAAACCAAGATATTTAGGTGCTCCTTTAAATAACAATTCATATACTGTCTCTGTTTGCCTGGGCAGATTTCCTCTGTATTATTCTATCCTTAAATAAAATCTATAAGAGGCCATTGTTTTGGACTGAGCACCTGCATTAAGCCCCAACACACCAAACCAAAATGCAATCACTCATGATAAGTGCCACATAAGCAAACAGAAATTTTAAAAAACAGAAAAATACCCAAACAGGCCAGTTTTCAAAACAAACAAACAAACAAACAAACGCAACCCAGGAGATTCATAGCAACTAATCAAAAGAAGCCCAGTCAACCTGAGCCAGTGTTAAGGAAGTCCCATCTCCTTTCACCCATACAAGGAAAATAACCCAGAGTCAGCTGATGTTGACCAATCTGCTTTTTGCTGTTTTCCTCGTTCCCGCTCAGGTGCCTTACAAAAATCCACTGTTCTGCCATTCCTGACAGTCTATTTCAGAGACTGGACACTGCCTGGATTATGAATTGCTAATAATAGCCAATTCGATCTTTAAAGCTCAATGTGTTGGAATATCATGCTTTGACACTGTATTTGATAGTGTCGGGAAAAACCACCCTCCTATGGCCCTGACTTAAGAACCTAAAGAAAGCTGCTCTACGGAGTGCCCACAAGGCACTAGGTCCACATATTTTTAGTTCGTGTTATCTTCCTAACATACCTGCAAGCCATGCCTTTACCTTTGCCTCATAGGTGAGCAAAGTGAGGCTCCACAATGGTAAACAACTTACCCCAGGTCACATTGTCACACAGGTGGAGGGAGCAGGATTTGAATTCAAGACTGCTGCCACCAGAGCCACCTTGCCTGCTGCCCACGACCCTTGGACTTTGGGAGCTTCCCCTGAATCAGGTCTGCTGCAAGGACAGCCTCAGCATGCTCTCCCTAACTAGCCCTTTAGAACCTCGGGACCCAATAAAGGCTAAATCGTCCTCTTTAACTATCTCATTCTGCTTGTCTTTTCAGCCCTCTACTCATTTACAGAGATTACTTTAGGGCCTTCCTCCCTCCAGGTGCTCAGAGCTGTCATTATCAGAGATGAAAAAATCCCTGTCTGTATCTTCCTGATACGAGTTTCACACGAAAGTTAATGTCACAGTACAGCCTGCTTCTCCACAATCAAGCTCCTGAACCCTGCTTTTTTACAACCCTTCTATTATTGATTGATTGATTTGATGCATTATATTTGAATGTATTTACAGGGTACATGTGAAATTTTGTTACATGGATAGTCGGTAATGATAAGTCAGGGCATTTAGGGTTTCCAGCACCCAAATATTTATCATGTCTATGCGTTTAGTACATTTCAAGTCTTTATACTGGCTATACAGATTTGCTCATAGACTTTCTTCATAGCCACACACACACCCCGTCTCTCACACCTCATATATACTCCTCAGAGACACGCACATAAACACCCACACACCTAACATACTATACACAGACCTCACACACACACACACACACACGCACACACACATGCATCTTCCACCACACGCATGTTCATCCCCAGTGCTTTGCCCACCAGTAACCCCTTCATCCTTTGAGATTCACCTCCCTCAGGAAGTCTTTCCTTGATACCATCACCCCACAGCTGAATGAGGAGAATCTCTTGGGATCCCATCCCACTCTCCCTGTCCTACCCATTATTTTATCATTGGCTGTTTTCCGCAGCAGCAGGTGGGCTCCCAGAGGCCAGAGCTGAGCATTATTCACATTTGGGTCCCCCATCTTCCCTCCCCAACACCCTGTACCAGGAATGGCATCCAGCGCTCAGAATCTCAGTAAATACTTCTGGAATGTATGAGTGAGCTCTATTTCGGTGATAAAGAGCCCACTGGATTAATCTGCATAGCCTCCTGACTCCAGACTATCTGGGTCCAAACACCAAACATTATAACCTGATGCTAAATCTCTCTGGACTGTGGTGTGCTCATCTGTGAAGTGGAAATGATGTCAATGGCAATTAACACCCGACTGGCTGGCGGAGGAGATTCAATGAGGTTTTACACATATGTAGACCTACGTATATTAGTATGAAGCAAATAACATGATTTTCAATCCTTACGTGGGGAAAGTAAAACCACACAGCTCCCTTTGGAAAAACCACCCCTGATGCCTCATCTGACCAGGGAAACCGATGATTCTTCCGCCTTCCGGGGCCTCTCTCTTATCACAAGCAGACAGGTGGCCCAAGCACAATGGATTCAATCCATAATGGACTCCCAATCCAGTCTAACCGGTCTGGGCATCTCTGCCCCTAGGGGACTGAGCCCTTAATAAACAGATGTGTCTTCCAGCTCAGAACTGCAGACATGTGCGTGCTCATGTTTATGTCAGTAGCCTTTGTTCTAAATCCATACCAATACCCGTTTAGTATTTCTAACAGATTGGTTCTTTCTGATGTGACTGTCTGAACAAATGAAAAGCATTTCCCTGTGGCCTACCTGTCACACTTTTTTCCGTCCTCTAATTGAGAACACTTTCAAACCTCTCCAACTCCTGTTTGCCTCGCAGTAAGGTGAAGATTTGATTTCTTCCCTATTACAATTTTCTTTTGAGTCAAAACGAGTATCTTGGAAAAAAACAAGTATAGCTAAGGGAGAGGGCAAGTCCAGAAAAGCATATATAAGTTTGTGAGCCAAAATAAGGTTAGTGGTTCTGAAACTGCCATTGCAAAATTGTAACTGAAACAGTGAAAGAGATCCGACCTAAGCAACTTCATCTTGCTTCTAAACGTCAAGCTGTCCTTGTTCATTCCTGGGCATAGGCTGAACTAATTTGGGGAGGAACTTAGTTTACAGTTTAAAACAAAGACGATAACAGCCCTTTCCCCAAAGAAGCCTCCTTGTTGCCTGGGGACTAGACTGCCTTTGTAGGACTAACAGATTAGCCACAGATTAGAAATTATGGTCTAGGAGTCATGCAGCTGGAGGCTACAAGATTCTGACCCTCCCTAAACTGCTCCTAAGATCAGTGCTTGAGATATTTTGCAGACCCTGCACTTGATGGATCAGCTGGCACAGCTGGCACCACCCAGGTGGATAAACTGGCTCACCTGATCTTGTGGCCCCCACCCAGGAACTGACTCAGCACAAGAGGACAGCTTCAGTTCCCTACGATTTCATCTCTGACCTGACCAATCAGCACTCCCGGCTCACTGGCTTCTCCCCACCCACCAAGTTGTCTTTATGTTATTTATTTATTTTTTGAGACAGGGTCTTGCTCCGTAGCCCAGGCTGGAGTGCAGTGGTGCCATCTCAGCTCACTGCAACCTCTGCCTCCCTCGATCAAGTGATTCTCCAGTCTCAGCCTCCCGAGTAGCTGGGACTGCAGGCGCAGTCACCACGCCCAGCTTATTTTTGTATTTTTAGTAGAGATGGGGTTTCTCCATGTTGGCCAGGCTGGTCTCGAAGTCCTGACCTCAGGTGATCCACCCACCTCGGCCTCCCAAAGTGCTGGGATTACAGGTGTGAGCCACCGCGCCCAACCATCAAGTTGTCTTTAAAAGATCCGATCCCAGAATGCTCGGGAAGACTAATTTGAGTAATAATAAAATTCTGGACTCCCACACAGCCGGCTCTGTGTGAATTACTCTTTCTCTATTGTAATTCCCCTGTCTTGATAAATTGGTTCTGTCTAGGCAGCGGGCAAGGTGAACCCATTTGGCGGTTACAGTTCCAGTCCAGCCAGATGCCAGCCAGCGTGTGGGAGGCCCAGGCAGAGCAGTCTCAGCTGTAGATCCCTGGCGGTGGGCAACACCCCTCCCCACAGGTTCATGGTAACCTTTTCGCAAGACATCTGCCTCCTCAGATACCAGCATCCCAAATTCCTGCATGGCAATTTCATCCACTACAAATACCATACATTAGTATACATTAGAGAGAAGGGGAAATTGCATGATTTTTCTGGTGAAAGGCTAAGTGAGAAGGTGGGGGAGGAAGGCAAGCTCAATTCTACCTTAACTTGCTGGAAACAGATTGCATTCCTCCTTTCTGTTCCTCACTGTGCTGCCTTTGGTATTTCAGGCCCACAGTGCGTGCAACGGATTCCTCATTTGATTACATTGCTTGATATTTCATAAATTCTGAAAGATTGGCCTAATAGGGATGGAAGAGAAGATAGAATCATTTCTGGGTGCTGCATGTATGCCCTCCTGTCCCCACAGCTGTACCCTTTCTGGAAAAGTTGCCTGGGGCTCAGCCTAACAAGGGGAGGGAGGAAGCCTTCATCCAGTAAGAATCGGGGTAGGGCTCCAGCCATGTACCTCAGTGCATTTCAGCTGAGCACTTGCTATGGGCAAGTACTGCCCCAGGCCCTCGACATAATATCGTATGAGCTACTTGACAAATGATTGGAGGTCTGAGTATATGGGGGATGGGGGGAATTTGCGTTGCCTGACATGCACAATGAAGATAGCAGCAAGTAGCCTCAGAGCAGGGAGTGGGAGTACTGTGTGGGAGACAAGCACTCAACTCTTGATCTGGAATGTTTATCCTTGTCCTGGGCCCCAACCCACAGCTCATTGACCCATGATGTCCTCTACCCTCTGCTTCACCAAAGACACAGCAACAGAGAGAAACAGAAAGAGGAAGAGGAAAGTGAGTCACAGGGAATAACTGTCACATAGCTCTTTATCACTTAAATTTTTACCTTTTAAAATAGGTGCTGCATGAATACGTAACCCAATTCAATAATGTAAACAGTGAAGACTAAGTCCTCACCCACACCTGACTCCCCGCAACCAGTTCCCATCCCCAGATGAAATTGCCTTTGCAAAAATTGTAACAGTGAGAAAATTATGACAGTGAAAGATATCTGATCTAACCAACCCCCACCTTGCCTTTAACCTCCAAGCTGCCCTTCTTAATTATTCCTGGGCTTTTGCCAAGCTAACTTTGCGACACATTTGGTTTATAGTTTAAATGGTAATAGCCCTTCTCCAAAATTAAATGCCTTTGTAAAGAGAGTGAAATGCCACGGGGAGGATGTGAAGAACCTGAATTCTGCTAAGGTATAGATGTAAATGATTACCACCATTATTCTGGCGATCACAAGATTTGCAACTTCCCCAATTACCCCTGCAGGTAACGTCTCTACTGTGGAACCTAAGACTGGCCTTTTGAGATGTCTTTTCAGGTTTTTGCATTTTGGCAATAGCTCCACCCGGACCCACAGGCCCCTGCCCACCAGTCTTGATCTCATCCAGAAGCAGACTCCCTGGCCCAACGAACTATCCTTGAAAAATCCTAGCCTCTGAATCTTCTGGGAGATCAACTTGAGTAACAACTCTGTCTCCCACATGGCATGGCCAGCCTCGTGTCTACTAAACTCTTTCTTCATTACAATCCTGTGGTCTCAGTGAATTGGTTTTGTCTGTGCAGTAGGCAGGAAGAACCCGCTGGGCAGTTACACAGAGACCACCTCCTCTACCAATTCCCTGTGGATGACTCCAGAGGGGTTCTGTGCATATTCAAATGCTTGCATTGCTATACTTTATGAAGTACTTTAACCAAAACAACAAAGCACACTGAGAGCCAAAGATTTTGTTGTGGCAAAAGTGTTACTGAAGCCACCTTTGCAAAAATTATAACTGACAAAATCATTACAGTGAAAGAGATCTGACCTAACCAACTCCATCTTGCTTCTAACCTCCAAGCTGTCCTTGTTCATTCCTGGGCATAGGCCGAACTAAGTTTGGAAGGAACATATAGTTTAAAACAAAGATAGTAACAGCCCTTTCCCAAAACAAATCCCCCTCCTGCCCGGGGACTAGACTGCCTGTGCAGGACTAACAGATTAGCCCCAAGATTAGAAATTATGGTTTAGGAGTCATGCTGCTGGAGGCTGCAAAATTCTGAATGTCCCCAAATGCTCCTGGGGATAACGTCACTAATATAAAACCTAAGTTCTGTGTTTGAAATATTTCGCAGACCCTGTACTCCATGGATCAGCTGGCACCACCCAGATCGATAAACTGGCTCATCTGGTCTTGTGGCCCCCAACCAGGAAGTGCTCAGTGCAAGAGGACAGCTTCAACTCCCTTTGATTTCCTCTCCAACCCAAACAATCAGCACTCCCAACTCACTGGCCCCTACCCACCAAATTATACTTAAAAATTCCAATTCCCAAATTCTCAGGAAGACCGATTTGAGTAATAATAAAATTTCATACAGCCAGCTCTGCATGAATTGAAATCTTTCTCTAATGCAATTCTCCTGTCTTAATAAATCAGCTCTGTCTAGGCAGAGGGTAAGGAGAACCCATGGGGCAGTTACATTATTACATTGGATTCTCATAGCAATCAATGCTATGCAGATCTCTCAGATGAGTTAGGTGAGTTATAGGTTGGTTCAAGTCACTACCTGATATGGTTTGGCTGTGTCCCCACCCAAATCTCATCTTTTTTTTCTTCTTTTTGAGAGATAAAGTCTCACTCTGTTGCCCACGCTGGAGTGCAGTGGCACAATGTCTACTCCCTGCAACCTCTGCCTACCAGGTTCAAACGATTCTCCTGCCTTAGCTTCCCAAGTAGCTGGGACTACAGGTGTGTGCCACCACGCCCAGCTAATTTTTGTATTTTTAGTAGAGACATGGTTTCCTCATGTTGGCCAGGCTGGTCTCGAACTCCTGACCTCAAGTGATTTGCCCGCCTTGGCCTCCCAAAGTGCTGGGATTACAGGTGTGAGCCACTGTGCCTGGCCCCAAATCTCATCTTGAACTGTAGTTCACATAATTTCCACATGTCATAGGAGGGACCCTGTGGGAGGTAATTGAATCATGGGGACTGTTACTCCATGCTCTTCTCATGATAGTGAGATCATGAGATCTGATGGTTTTATAAGGGGCTTTCTCCCCACTTTGATCTGCACTTCTCCTCGCTGCCACCATGTGAAGACAGATGTGTTTGCTTCCCCTTCTACCATGATTGTAAGTTTCCTGAGGTCTACCCAGCCCTGTGGAACTGTGAGTCAATTAAACTTTTTTCCTTTATAAATTACCCAGTCTTGGGTATGTCTTTATTAGCAGCGTGAGAATGGACTAATACACCACCCAAGTCAGTTTATTCAACCAAGTATCTGTGAAACTACTATATCCATCAGCTAGGGCTGCTGTAACAAGTTACCACAAACTGTGTGGCTTAAGACAACAGAAATGTATTCTCTAACAGTTCTGGAGGTTAGAAGGCCAGAATCAAGGTGTCATTGGGGTTGGTTCTTTCCGGAGGTTTAGAGAAAGGATCTGCTTCATGTCTTTCTTCTAGCTCCTGGTGGTTGCCAGCAATCCCTGGCATTCCCTGGCTTGTGGCAGCATCACTCCAACCTCTGCCTCTGTCTTCACATGGCCTCCTAACCTGTGTGCATCCTCTGTGTCTGTGTCCACATTTTCCTCTTTTTCTAAGGACACCAATTATTGACTTTAGGGCTCAACCTAATCTAGTATGACTTCATCTTAAACTTAATAAAGATCCTATTTCCAAATAAGGTCACATTCACAGGTTCTGAGTAGAAATGAATACTGGGGAGAGACTATTCAACCCTACGGCAACCTTAAGAAGCCGTTTAACCTCTCTTAGTCTCAGCCTCTTTATCTGTACCACAAAGCATTCTTGTGAGGATGAAATGAGAAATCCAGTGAAAACAGTTCAGCATCAGCTTTGGTAGTCCAAAATGTTAGCTGCTATTGCTGCTAACCTGTCATCATCATCATCTTTCTTCTTCATCTTCATCAGCCACTAGAATTATTATTTTTTGAGACAGAGTCTTGCTCTTTTTGCCCAGGCTGGAGTGCAGTGGCACCATCTTGGCTAACTACAATCTCTGCCTCCCGGGTTCAAGCTATTCTCCTGCCTTAGCCTCCCAAGTAGCTGGGACTACAGGCACCCACCACCATGCCCAGCTAATTTTTGCATTTTTAGTACAGACGGGTTTTCACCATTTTGGCCAGGGTGGTCTTGAACTCCTGACCTCAGGTGATCCGCCCACCTCGGCCTCCCAAAGTTCTGGGATTACAGGCATGAGACACCACACTGGCCAGTCACTGGAATTATAGGAGCTATGAGAGACAAAAGGGACAGCTCACAGTCTCCACTCCCAAGTAGGTTCTGGTTTAGCTGTGGACACTCCACTAACATCCCTTACAGGCTAAAGTGCTGAGTGCTATGGTTAGGACTGCCAAGGAAGAGGAGGCCAGGGTGGATGTCACCTGAGTGGACAGCACAAAAGGCACCCAACACAAGTAAGTTTTTTTTTGTTTTATTTTATTTTAGCCAGGGTCTCGCTCTGCTACCCAGGCTGGAGTGCAGTGGCACAATCATAGCTCACTGCAGCCTCAACTTCCTGGGCTCAAGCAATCCTCCCACTCAGTGTCTTGAGTAGCTACGACTACAGGGGGGTGCCACCATGTCTGGCTAATTTTTTAGTTCTTGGAGAAATGGGGACTCACTAATATGCCCAAGCTGGTCTTAAATTCCTGGGCTCGAGTACATCTCTTGCCTCACCCTCCCAAATTGTTGGGATTACAGGCATGAGCCACCATGCCCAGCTTTGAAAGGATTCTTAGGAGCAACATGGACCCCAACGGAGCTATGACTCACTGCCTTGAAGGGAGTGGTCTCTTCATTTCCATGCCATGAAACGTGCTCAAGGGCACACAGTCATATCACTCCTGAAGCTGAGATGCTTTCACTTCTCCTTGAAGAAGCATATCTCTAACCAAAATAACATTGCCTGTCATTTTGGTGAAACATCTTTGAGGTTTTGAGCTCATGGGAGTCCCAGGGGAGGAGAAACGTCTGACCTTCTTTACTAACCTTAAAGTCTCAGACAAAAATCATAGGTGGAGCTCTTCCCATCTGAATTTGCAATGCCTGTACAAAGTTAGCTGCCACGTGAAAACTATAAAGTGTGTGTTAGAATGTTTCTACTGTTAGAGTAGATAGGCAGATATGAGCAGGGCAGGAGAGGGCACCCCCAGGAGTGTCAGGTGACCATCAGGTGATGATCAGGCGGTTGTTAAACTCTCTCTGAAATGATAATTGGTCACAGCCGGCACCAGGCAAAGACAGGCTCCCAGTAGATAGAAAATACCTGGAGCTGGTGATCAGCAGCTTCTCAATAAGAGTTCAGGGGTTGGACAAGCAGGCCCAAGCATGCACACTAAGAGGCAAAGTGGCAGGTATATGACCTTCACCTGGGAACAGTCGACCGGTAAAGGAAAATTGCCCCTAGAGAGCATGCGCGCAACTGCAGTAAAATAAACTATGCACGCAGTCACCCTCCCAAGTGCTGAGCAACACTGTGCATGTGGTGGTTGAGCAACAGCCCGCCCCAAGGGAAGGATCAAGGGAGGAGAAAAGAAAGCCCCAAAATCATGCCAATGTATAAATCCCCAAGTCAAAGGCTGAATGGGGCGGTTGGCCTCTCAAGTTGCCAGCTTGGCCTTTTTCCATATGTACTTTGCTTCCTTTTGCTTCTGCTCTAAAACATTTTAATAAACTCTCATCCCTGCTCTAAAACTTGCCTCAGTCTTTCCCTTTGCTTTAAACCTGTGTCTGCCCCTCAGCAGAATTTTTTCCTCCAAGGAGACAAGGATCGAGTTTGCTGCAGATTTGTGTGAATTCCACCACTGGTAACACTACCACTGCTGGAAAGCTTGAGATGTTGCGTGCAAGAGACCTAGAGTCAAAAACATCCATTGTTGGCTGGGCTCACGCCTGTAATCACGAGGTCAGGAGTTCAAGACCAGCCTGGCCAAGATGGTGAAACCCCATCTCTACTAAAAATACAAAAAAACTTAGCCAGGCACGGTGGCGGGCGCCTGTAATCCCAGCTACTCAGGAGGCTGAGGCAGAAGAATAGCTTGACCTCGGGAGGCGGAGGTTGCTGTGAGCTGAGATTGCACCACTGCACTCTAGCCTGGGCAGCAGAGCAAGACTCCATCTCCAAAAATAAAAATAAAAATAAAGTACATTGCTAAAAACCATACTTTGGAGCACTCAGTGGCTGTTTAATTGAGAGTGCAATTGGGATTTCCTTTTTTCTAACCTTTCCATGTGGAGAGGACTCTGGAAAAATAGTGACTGCTGGCCTGTGCATGTACACGTCTGAAGTGTACTGCTGAAGTAACTAGCTTTCTTTAATCTGCAGAAGACCTTGCCTTTCATACTGGTATTATAAATAAGATGAATTCTGTTCATCAATAAGTAGGGACTTAAAGACAAAATTGTTCCTTTAATAATAGATCCGCTGGGCAAAAATAATCTGATTGGCTTCTTTGATATGAGATGAAAGATAAATTGATTCATGTAAATGTGTTTCCCTTTGGAGAGTACTCCAGTGCACTGAGTTGGGGCACAACATGATATAATTAATAGTTGTCATAGCAATGGGTTATATTGCTAAAATCCAGATGTGAGTTGGCTATTAGGGTTTCACAACATGTATGGAGGCTGGATTTATAGACCATCCCATAAAACTTCCATACATCCAATGTATCTATACTAAATAGTCTTAGCTTACATTCTTGGTCCTCTAAGCAGAAATCAAATGCCTGATCATATCACTGGAATTTTCTAGAAGTGTTTGGAAATTAAATTCTTCCCACTGAATGGTCAGGTCATGTATCCTGATGTTCTTTTTGAAACTGCAGCTGCTGTAATCCTTTGGTATGGTGAGGAAGATGAGCAGATGAAGAAGAGGGAGAATATCTCTTTCAAAAGCCCCTGGCAAATTTTTGTTTGCTCGGTTTTTTTGTTTGTTTGTTTTGTTTTGTTTTGTTTTTAAGACAGAATCTTGCTCTGTCACCCAGGCTGGAATGCAGTAGTGTGATTTTGGCTCACTGCAGCCTCCACCTCCTAGGTTCAAGAGATTCTCATGCCTCAGCCTCCCAAGTAGCTGGGACCACAGGAATATGCCACCACACCTGGCTAATTTTTGTAATTTTAGTAGAGACGAGGTTTTGCCATGTTGGCCAGGCGGGTCTTGAACTTCTGACCTCAAGTGATCTGCCTGCCTCCATCTCCCAAAGTGGTAGGATTACAGGTGTGAGCCACTGCACCTGGCCGTTTTTTTGAGAAAGGGTCTTACTCTGTGGCCCAGGCTGGAGGCAGTAGTGTGATCAAGGCTCACTACACAGTTGACTTCCTGGGCTCAAGCAATCCTCCCACCTCAGCCTCCCCAGTAGCTGGAATTCAGGCGCATACCACCATGCATGGCTAATTTTTTGACTTTTTGTAGAGATAGGGTCTCTCTATGTTGCCCAGGCTGGTCTCGAACTCCTGGGCTTAAGTGATCCTCCTGCCTCAACTTCCCAAAGTGCTGGGATTATAGGCATGAGCCACTGCACTCAGCCTCCATGGCAAATTTTTTAAAAGATAAAGGATCTTCTCCTGCCCTATCTTCTATATCCTTCTCCTACTTCCTAGTAAAAATAATATAACAATTAATGATGATAAGAGCACTAGTAATAATAAGAGTGATGATGATAGCTAACATTTACAGTTTCAAAGGTGTCAGGCACCATGCTAAATGCTTTACAGATATCTTCTCATTTAACCCTGCCAACAATGTAAGGAAATCAATACTATGATTATCCCCATTTCACAGGTTAAGTAACTGAGGCCAAAGATCACACAGCTGGAGTTCAACTTCAGCAGTCAGCTCAGGGGCTCACACCCTTAAGCAGTATCCCTTGCCTTTTGCATTCTTCTCATCGTGGTGAATCTCTTAAAACATTTTGACAGAAAAGCATTAAACACAGTCTACAGGAGAAACTAGGAGAGGCCAGGAACAGTGAAGACTCACAGAGAAGCAAACTCAGCTGCAGGTAGAGGTGAGATGTGGCAGTTCCACACACAGGGCAATGACCTTGAGAGTGGTAGACTCCATGAGAGTACAGGGACAGAAAATGGCGACTCTCAGAATAAGCTATTTCCAGACATTCAGAAAAGCAGGAAGAAGCAGAGACCTCTGTCAGCAGGCAGGAAAGGTCAGCCCCTGGACAAATATTCAGGGATCAGTTCCTAAGTGTGTGGGGAGCCCCCTGGAAACCAGTTGCTAGCAATGGTCCTCTTACTGGGAAGGGGTCCCGATCCCTAGATCCCAAGAAAGGGCTCTTGGATCTCGTGCAAGAAAGAATTCAGGGTGAGTCCATAGGGTAAAGTGAATGCAAGTTGATTAAGAAAGTAAAGGAATAAAAGAATGGCTACTCCATAGACAGAGCGGCCCCAAGGGTTGCTAGCGGGCTATTTTTATGGTTATTTTCTTGAGTATATGCTACTTAAGGGATAGATTATTCGTGAGTTTTCCTGGAATGGGGCAGGGGTTTCTCCTGGAACCGAGGGTTCTTCCAGCTAACTTTTGTATTTTTAGTAGAGACGGGAGTTTTGCGATATTGACCAAGCTAGTCTTGAACTCCTGATCTCAAGTGACCCTTCCACCTTGGCCTCCCAAAGTGCTGGGATTACAGGCATGAGCCACTGCGCTGGGCTGGTTACTCCCCTTCTTAGACCATATAGGGTAACTCCCAGACATTGCCATGGCATTTGTAAACTGTTATAGTACTGATGGGTGTGTCTTTTATCATGTTAATACATTATAATTAGCCTATAATGAGCAGTGAGGATGACCAGAGGTCACTTTTGTTGCCACCTTGGTTTTGGTGGGTTTTGGCTGGCTTCTTGACCACATCCTGTTTTATCAGTGGGGTCTTTATAACCTGTATCTTATGCTGACCTCCTATCTCATCCTGTGAATAAGCCTAACCTCCTAGGAATGCAACCTAGCAGGTCTCATCCTCATTTTACCTAGCCCCTATTCAAGATGAAGTTGTTCTGGTTCGAATGCCTCTGACAGTCCCAGTGGCCAAGCCAGGCCACAGCGAGTGTGGATTATACTGAGCCTCCTGGTTCTTGAACTAGAGTACTTGCATACCCCTTTGAATGTAGGCTAATTAGTGCTTCCCAAACTTCTCCAATTATAAGACTCCCCTGGCTTTGGTGAATTCACTGACTCTCAGGACCTACTGCAAACCTCTGGATGAGAATTACCAAAAGTGCAGCCTGGGAATCTGGGTTTGGCAAGCACCCAGGTGATTCCCACAGTCAAGGAGGTTTGGAAAGCACTGAGGAGGTTATTCAGAGCCTGTGGGGCCATATCTGTAAGTAGCAGTTAAGATGGCTTAGCTGTGAGGAGAGGAGGGAAGTGAGAGCAGAACTAGACAGGAAATCACAAACGCCGTCCGGTGATCTTAGGGTCACTGAGTGTCCCGGTTTGCCTGGTACTGAGGGCATTCCTAGGATACAAGACTTTCAGTTTTAAAACTGGGACAGTTCCAGGCAAACCCTGTTTCTGTTACGAAACTACATGCATTATCACCATAAGCCTCACGTGACCCCAGAAGTTCTAAAACTTTCCTTTCCCAGCAGAATCTAGCTTCTGTGGGCATTAGAAGGAAAACATTGCTGCAAAAAGTATTGCATATTAAATTGTGTATGACTGATAGCTTCACTGGTCTCCCAGAGGTATTCACATTTTTTGAAAAGAGGGACTATAATTTGTTTTGCCTCCTGCATTTCCTTTGCAGCTGAAATTACTTTTCAGAATATCTTCAAGAATCAGCAATAAAACTCATAGCTGCATTTTAGAAAAGTGACACAAGTACCTAATTCGTCATTTCTTTTAAGTTTGCTAGAGAAAAAAAATTCTACTTCTCTCTCAAAACTGTGATTTCAACTGAGCAAACTTAGACATGAGTTATCACTATCCTTTTAAAGCAATTTTAATTTCCATTTGATGGCCTTTTCTTATATTCAGTTACTGTAGCTTTAAGAAAGAAATCTTTCCACACATTATCTGAAGTCATTTTCTTGGGGCTTGCTAGAACAAATTAGAAAAGCACGATGGATAATTAAACTAAATATTGTGTGTAGAGTTAATCCAAATTCCAGAGCAGTAAGCTTTACTGAAAAATAATTACAATAAAATATAAACACAGAAGTGATGGGGTGATCCAAACTTTCAACTTGACATTTGCTAGGGAGTTTGCCTCACAGTAGGGGATGAAGTCATCTCAGACCTGACTTTCCCCAAAGCCACAAAGTCCACACTTGGGTTGGGAAGATAAGTTGACTGGGAAGAAACCTTGACCCTGAGGCCCAAGTCTAGTTAGAAGAGAGACAAGAGTCTTCTTCTCTCTATTGCTGTAGCTTAGTGCAGGATTAAGAGAGGAAAGCAGCCATGGAAGGGAGACGGTTACATCAGAGGCCTTTGAACCAGAGTGACTCCATCTTGAATAGGGGCTGGGTAAAATGAGGCTGAGACCTACTGGGCTGCATTCCCAGGAGGTTAGGCATTCTAAGTCACAGGATGAGATAGGAGGTCAGCTCAAGGTACAGATCATAAAGACCTTGCTGAGAAAACAGCATGCAGTGAAGAAGCCAGCCAAATCTCACCAAAACCAAGACAGCAATAAAAGTGACCTCTGGTCGTCCTCAGTGCTCATTATTCACTGATTATGATACATTAGCATGCTAAAAGACACTCTCACCAGTGCCATAACGGTTTACAGGTGTCATGGCAACATCCGGAAGTTACCCTATATGGTCTAAAACAGGGAGGAACCCTCAGTTCCAGGAATTGACCACTCCTTTCCCAGAAAACTCATGAATAATCTGCCCCTTGTTTAACATATAATCAAGAAATGACTATAAATGTCCTTAGACAAGCAGCCAGTGCTGCTGCTCTGCCTATGGAGTAGCTCTTCTTTATTCCTTTACTTTCCTAATCAACTTGTTTTCACTTCACTCCATGAACTCGCCCCAAATTCTTTCTTGTACAAGAACCAAGAACCCTCTCTTGGGGTCTGGATCAAGACCCCTTTCCGATAAGTTACAGCCTAATGGGTTATGTGTACAGACTCTACCTTAGAGCTGCCTAGGTTCAAATCCCAGCTCTGCCAGACCTCAGCTGTGTAACCTTGGGTATTACTCAGCTTCTCTTTGCCCAGGGTGAAACAGTAATAGCACCTACCTTACAAGGTTGCTGTGAGGATAATTCATGAGCTAATATAGACAAAGCACTTAGAATAGTGCCTCCCACTTAATCAGTGCTATGTAAGTGTTTATGTGGGGGCCATAGGCTCTTGGCCCTCTAAAGATTCACTAAAAAAAGTCACTGACATGAGGCAGGTTGATTAATAGCAGAAAAGGTATACAATTTAGCATGTCTATACAGGAACTTTCAGAATGAAGATCCAACCCAACAATACAGAAGCTTTTATACTATCTGGAGATTAAAGAAAGAATGACGACTCAGTGCCTGCCCCCAAACAGGTTTTGGTGGCAGGACAGTTTAAGGGCCAGAGAAAGAAATAGGCTTGGTCAGCAGAGCTGGCATTATTATGTAGATAAAGGCTCCCTCAAAGGTACATGTTTCTTTTTAGACTTTTAAAGGTGTAAGACTCTGAATCTCTCCTAGAGCCTGGTTGTGTTAATGGAGATTCTCTACAGATGCAGATTTTACCCCATAAAAGACAGCTTTGCAAGGCCATTTCGCTTTGCCAGCTCTGCAGCAGCCATTTCAAAATATGTTAAAGAAATATATTTTGGGGTAAAATATTTTGATTTCCTTTACTTACATGAAAGAATGATAGAAATCTTCACATCTGTCTTCAGCATATTGGTTAATTTTTTTTTTTTTTTTTTGAGACGGAGTTTCGCTCTTGTTGCCCAGGCTGGAGTGCAATGGCGTGATCTCGGCTCACTGCAGCCTCCACCTCCCGGGTACAAGCAATTCTCCTGCTTTAGCTTCCTGAGTAGCTGGGATTACAGGCACGCGCCACCGCGCCCATCCAATTTTGTATTTTTAGTAGAGACGGGGTTTCCCCTTGTTGGTCAGGCTGGTCTCGAATTCCCAACCTCAGGTGATCCACCCACCCTGGCCTCCCAAAGTGCTGGGATTACAAGCATGAGCCACCATGCCCAGCCTGGTTAATTTTTAATTTTTAAAAGTTGCTCTGCAGCAGAAGCTGCTCAACAGGACAAATGCAGTCTGTGCAGTTGCTTTCTGGGTACCCAAGGTGTGTATGGTGGTGGTGGTGGTGGTGTCTGAACTAATTGCCAAAATTTTAAAATAGGGAAATATGTAAAAATACAGGTTTCCATCTGTTTTTGAAAAATAGAAAGATCTGGTCATGCTAGGCTCACATTCTGCCTAGTTACTATCGGCTGGAGCTGAGTGGAGCTGGCTATTAAATAAAATATGTGCTCCCTGATTTGTCATGGTCTCTACAGAGCCTGCTTTACTGTAGGCAACTGAATTCGTAATACTTAATTTTGAGTTAGCGATCAGCAAATCATAGCCTATGGGCCAAACCCAGCCCACTGTCTGATTTTATAACTAAAGTTTTCTTGAAATAGGGTACTCATTCATTTACATATTGCCTATGGCTGTTTTCAACTACATGGCAAAGTTGAGTGGTTACAACAGAAATCATGACTCACAAAGCCTAAAATATTTACTATACTATCTGCCTTACAAAGTTTGTTGACCCCTGTTTCTAAGGTATTGTCTTTCAGTAAATAGATTGCTTAAAAATAGCTTATTTTTATATTTTAGAAAATATATAGTGCATTCAAAATTTGAAAATGTATGCTTATTATTTAGAGGGAGAGTGAATTATCTTCAATCAAAAAAATTGACGCACTTAGGAGCTTGTAGGCTCAGGAGCTTCCGATGACTATTATTCCTTATCTCCCTCTGGTGGTAAAATGCATAAATTGCAGGCACAGTTAAGCCATGACACCGTCTTAAGGACATGTATTTTGTTGTTGATTGCAGAATTCTTATCCTAGAGCACCATATGAAGTGGCTATTTCCTCTCACTCCATCTTGAAAAACTTGAATATTTCTTCTTACTTCCTCAGTATGAAAATAAAACTGGGCCAAAACATAAAAATCAGTTGTCTGTAAATCATAATCGTTAGAAAAAATTATCAAAAAATCATATGATAGTAATAAACATTTCTTCCCTCATAAAGTTTATTTTTTAAAACATGGAATATCATTATTTTACTGAAACACTTTCAGATAAATATAATATATTTTATGCATTACTTATATGTAGACCTGTTATTAATTATGCTACTAATTCATACAGTACACCAAAACCCCATAATATGCTTGCATAAGCATTCAGGTAACTCTGCATTTGTACTTGGAATACCTATGTATTCATTCCTGGAGAATAAGGCAGCAAGGTTTATCCCACACAGATAGACCCCAAATGTTATCTGGGATGTCTGCCAAATTAAACCATTAGATTCCAGTGACGATATCTATTGACAACTCCTTTCTCAATTAGTTTTGGGAGAATTAATTAATCTATTATGACATGGTTCAGTTCCTATTATTTGTCTCTATTAAATACAGTTTAATGAGAGTTTCTCTACATTTTTTTTAGCAGAGACCCAAGCAAGGAATTAATATTAATGTTCTATTAGATTCTTTTCATCCCTGAGGACATCTTCTGCATCATGAACATGAGGTAGAGTCTACATGGTGTAGAGTTTGTTGAATATATATCCAATATACTCTTGCCTGTGGATTCTGTCTCATGAAAAGTGCTTAATTAATATTTGTGAAATGAATGAATGAATGGATAAAGTGCTAGGAACAGGAATGGGGAAGGGCTGAAAGACAAGTCAACTCTGCAGGGAGTTCTGAACATAAGACAATCTTTCAGAACTGTCCTGGGTTGGGGCAAGAGGGCTATGCTTTTATCACTTCCCTGGCACCCTATTTCAATAAGTCATTGGATGAGAGAAAGCCCAGGATGTGTTGGAGGTGTATCCTTGGGCAAATTAGCTCTCTTTATTTAAGGCATCCTCTGAAGGGGGCTGACAGCTGAAGGCTGCCTGCCAACAGCACTCCCTCCAGCTGAAATCATTCATTCAAGAAGCAGGATCTCGGAGGCACATTACAACATCCACAGCATCTACCACATGGTGATTGCTCAATAAGTGTTAACCCCTACTCCATAAATAGTTGCCCAGTGAATGAATAAAAAATGAGCTGACTCCTATATCCTTGGTAAGTGACATATCTAGTCATTTATGCTTCATTATTCTTTTTTTTATGTTTTTATTTTTATTTTTTTTTGAGACAAGGTCTAGCTCTGTTGCCCAGGCTGGAGTACAGTGAGGCAATCTCAGCTCACTGCAATCTCCACCTGTTGGGCTCAGCAATCCTCCCACCTCAGCCTCCTAAGTAGCTGGGACTAAGGTGTGTGCCGCCACGCCCAGCTAATTTTTGTATTTTTTGTAGAGCCAAGATTTTGCCATGTTGCCCAAGCTGGTCTCGAACTTGCGAGCTCAAGCAATCTGCCTGCCTCAGCCTCCCGAAGTGTTGAGATTACAGGCAGGAGCCACTGTGCCCTGCCTATGCTTAGTTATTCTAAAATTGTATCTCTCTGTGGACATTTAGGGAAAGAGAATGTTCCTTCCCCGTCTTTCATGCCAGTCAGAGCCTCTATTCCAGGGTGACACAATGCGGGTGGTCAGGGAATGCTGTTCTATGGCCACAGCTTAAAGGCCCTGTGGGGTCTCTACCTAAGGGACTCCAGCCATCAGGAGCAAAGAACAATGCTATCTGTAGAGGAGGGATTTGGTAGATGGGATTTTACCAGCACTCTTAACATTGGATCACAGCCGAATCTCAGGCAGATTCTAAATATTGAAATCCTCTATTGTTACTATTTTGTTTCATTTCATTTAATTATTAATTTTTTTTTTTTGAGATGGAATTTCTCTCTTGTTGCCTAGGCTGGAGTGCAGTGGCGTGATCTCAGCTCACTACAACCTCCGCCTCCTGGGTTCACGCCATTCTCCTGCCTCAGCCTCCCGAGTAGCTGGGATTACAGGCGCGTGCCACTGTGCCCGGCTGATTTTGTATTTTTAGTGAAGACGGGGTTTCTCCATGTTGGTCAGGCTGGTCTCCCAACTCCCGACTTCAGGTGATCTGCCCGCCTCAGCCTCCCAAAGTGCTGGGATTACAGGCGTGAGCCACTGAGCCCGGCCGGTTTTATTTTAAGAAATAAAATGATGGGTTTCACTAATGATCTCTAAGGTCTCTTCCAACTCTAACATTCTATGATCCAAAAATTAGGAGCCACCACTATTGAGTGTTGGTCATGTGCCAGCTCCGGTGCCAAGCACTTTGCATACACAAATTCACTGAATCCCCCCAGTTTCCTCGCCAGGAAAATGGAGATAAAAATAGTACCTCTCTCATAAACAAGGATTGCATGAAATAACTGACATATATAATATAGCCTGGTATTTAGTAAAGTCTAGCTATTATTATTTTTACTTTTACTTATTCCTGACTACTCAGAACTCTCCATGTGGCCTAAGATCTACTCTTCCTTGAGAGATCTAAGCTCCATCGTAAGTGCCTCTTCTTTCCTCATGATGCCCCGAGTGATGAAAATCACCTGAGCTTCAGCACTCAGCCACCATTAGTATGTATCCATGATGGGCTAATAGTTTGGAAGGGGAACGTTTTCCAGAGTATTCAGCATAGAAATTGGTTCATAAATCAATTGTGTTACATATCCGCAAAACCCCATTCTACAAGCCAACTCTTCGGTGTCTTTCATTGTTACCTGTGTTTGTCCACCTTGAACCAAATTGCCATATGATGCAACAAATGTCCAACCTGCAGCTTTCTGCAATCTACATAAACCAGAATTTTTTGTGTATAATTAAACTAATTCGCATGCATTATTAGAAACACATGTTTACTGATTAGAAAGGTAAAACTATAGGCTAAGTCTCTAGCATTTATCTCGGTTTTGACAGGACAAATTTCATAAATTCACGGACAATTTTCAAGTGATGCATATCACCCATCCCAGAAACTCTTCTCAGTCCCTTATCTGCTCTTTGCCATTGCATAATTATTCATACCTTTTGTTATCAACTTTGGCTGCACATAAAAATCACCTGGAGAACTTAAAAAATACTGATACTTTGGCTACAATCCCACAGTTCTGATTGAATGGGTCTAGGGTGCAGCACGGGCATCACAAATTTTAAAGTTCCCTCTGGTGATTCTAACTGCAACAAAATTTGAGAACCACTGAGCAATAGCAGTGTCAAATGAACATGATTGTTTAATTGGCTATAGTTTCATTCTTTTACATAAATACTGGGGATTGATTTATAAAATACCTAAAAATGTTCAACAACTGTAAGCCCTACTGTATACCAGGCCATGTTCAGGAAGCTAGGCATTTCCAGAACATTCTATGCACTGATATTATTTTGTCTTTTTTTGTTTGTTTGTTTATTTTGAGACAGAGTCTCACTCTGTCGCCCAGGCTGGAGTGAAATGCCACGATCTTGGCTCACTGCAACCTCTGCCTCCCAGGTTCAAGTGATTCTCCTGCCTCAGCCTCCTGAGTAGCTGGGATTACAGGCACACATGACCATGCCTAGGTAATTTTTGTACTTTCAGTAGAGACAGGCTTTCGCCATGTTGTTCAGGCTGGTCTTGAACTCCTGACCCAGGTTATCTGCCCGCCTTGGCCTCCCAAAGTGCTGGGATTACAGGCATGACCCATCACGCCTGGCCTTGCTCTGATATTATTTTGGAGGGTTGCATAATTTTACAATTCTATAATGGGTAAAGAAATATTCCACTAGACATGGGTAGGGTTCAGAGGAGAAAGAAAAGGAGAATCTGAACCACAAAAATAAATAAAATTAAATAGTTCTTTACTGTGGGATTCCTCAGAAACTTTACTATACTAGTGTGCATGTAAATCTTCAAGAGCATTTCTCAAGCACATTTGATCACAGAATCCTCCCACCACCCTCTCCACATTCCATTGCCTAACATCTTCTGGAACATTCTGGTGAGTACTTTGAGAAATGCTAGTTCAAAAGGTTTCTATTTGGCAAGAGGAAAAGAGCAGGGTGCTGAAGGAAGCACAGACACAGAGCTGGCGCCCTCAAGGACTTGATTCCACATTGGGAACAAAGGCTTTGTCTTCTGGGAGGCCGACCTCAGAAGTTGATGGGTCTTTTTTATCATTGCTTGTTAAGACCAGCAGCAGAGCAGTTGGTTGATCAGCAGTGTCGTTGTCTCCCAACTGCTGTGAGCCATAAGGAGTTCCACATGTGGAAAGTCTGTTAGTAGCACAGGACGTTTGGCGTCCCTGTGGAGACAGAGTGAGGATTGACAGCATGTGTTTGGTGCTCTTCTCTGGCCAGGGCAGAGAGGAAAGCAGAGGGAGATAAAGGGTCCAGTCCCGCTCAGACCTAGCACTCCCTAGGACTGCTCTGCTGACTGCTTCCAAATTCTGGCAGCGTGTGCCTAAGCCAGCTTTCTTAGGTATAAAATGGGGATATGTACTACCTAAGCGTTCTTGTGGGGACTAAGTATGAACCATAAGGACCTGTGCAAATATTGGAGGTTACTTTTTTTTTGGAGACAGGATCTCACTCTGTTGCCCAGGCTCAGGCTAGAGTGCAGTGGTGCAATCATGGCTCACTGCAGGCTTAACCTTCTGGGCTCAAGCCATCCTCCTGCCTCAGCCTCCCAAGTAGCCTCCCAAGTAGACGTGAGCCACCAGGCCCAGCTAATTTTTAATTTTTTTTTAGAGATGAGGTCTCCTTATGTCGCCCAGGCTGGTCTCAAACTCCTGGGCTCCAGCAATCCTCCCATCTCGGCCTCCCAAAGTGCTGGGATTACAGATATGAGCCACCACACGCAGCCTGGAAGTTACTTTCATTATCATAATTATTATCACCAATAAGATTCTCTTGCTAAGTTCATCTGAATGATAACCCAGGGGAAACTTGATTTGAGAATCCATAACCATGCACAATTTTTGCACTAGTTTTTCATAAATGTTGCAGAGCAGGAGAGAGAGAGATGGAGAGAGACACACACACACAGTCATTTATTCAACAGTGTGGGGGTCCTAGAGTCTTTAGAAGGAAAGTGTTTGTTGTATGTGCTCTCTGAAACCTTGAAAGTGAGCTGAAAATCCACATCATTCTACTGTTTAATAGTCCATGGTCTCCTGTCATCATTCCAAATGTGTCTTATTGACAGACGGTTTCTTTGGGAGAGCACCTCAATGATTAATTGAATAGAAAACACCACTCATCTTTCTGCAGGCCGGCGCTTGTTTAGTAAGGTTAAATTGAAGCAATGCACAAGGAATGGAGAGAGTAGAAGAGCAGCTTATTTTCCTTCAGGCTTTTCTCATCATCCCAATTCTATTTTTGCAGACATGACTGTGAACATGGAGACAGCTTCCACCCACCTTAACCAGACATATCTAGTCCTGCTGGCGACTCTCAAGCTGGAGCCTAGCAACCCAAAGTCATGGTTCTTTTCATTAATAATCCTTCTTGATCCACTATTTCATCCTGTTTTATTTACTAATTTGCTAGAATATGCATTGAACTTATTCTCGAATTGGCACTGTGAACTCTCTGTTCCTCCTTTTATTGTGCAATTTCATTCTGGGTGGGTTTGTTTTGTTTCTAGCTAAATAGCTTCCCTCCTTTCCCCTCCACCCATCCTGTGTGAAGATCCACCCTTTCTTTTTTTGGTGCCACTTTCAGGCCCTGGACAATATCTCCCTTTGATGGCCTTCCTCTACCCAGATAGAACTCCGTGGAGTTTTTCTGTCTGCTGAGACCATCCACGTGGTATTTGGTCTAACGGGCCCCAGCATGCCTGGAGAGATAGAAATACACATGCGCTTTGAATGGGACCTTTACTTCTAATACACAAGAGAATTATGTCTTTCTGCTTGATAAATATGACCATGCTGAGTGCCCCTGACTTTCAATCTTACAAAAACCAAAATAGCAATAAGCTTTCATGCATGTACTTGGGTTTCACAGGTGCCATCTCATTAAGTCCCCAATCACCAGCTCTCTGCTGAGCTTCACTAGTGGGAGTGCGTGCTTGAGCAACCTTCTCCTCATTCAGAGTCAACAGGAAGCAGGCAAAGGTGCAGCTTGCTCTTGGGGGTCTGGAAGTCAAGAGAAATCGGTTGTTTTGAGGACTTAAGAGAACTTTTTCAATTCATAAGCTCCATAAAATGTAGGGGAATCTCTTCTAAAATGTAAACAGCCATATTATAGCTTGGGATATGCTACAAATTAGGTGTGAATGTACACACTGAGGCAGGTGCACCTTGCCCGGGACCCCTCTTTCCCCACCTTCTACCCCCGATATCTCCACAGATTCCCTCCCTCCTTTCACTGAGGTTTCTGTTCAAATATCATCTTATCAAAGAAAGTTCCTCTGAACTCCTCTTCTAACGAAACATCCAGACTTGTCCCCTCCCATCCCCTTACATTGCTTTGTTTTTCCTTTTAGCACTTATCATGAATAACATACTACTTTATTATACTCTTTTTAGTAAATATCCAATACCATGTAAAAAAATAGTAAAGGTTATAATTTTAAAACAATAAAAATGATTTTTTTAAGTGATAGACCAGGGTAAATTAAAGAAAAAAATAAGGAAAATACTTTTTAAAGGCATTGTGCTATTTCTTTAGTTATGGTGTTTGAGATGCTGTGTGATATGGGGGAAGGGGCTTGGCTTTGTGGAGACACAGACTTTGATGCCCGTTCTGGCTCTCTGATGTCCAGGCTTAGTGGCATTGGTTCAATCCCTCGCCCTTTGAACCTCTATGTCCTCATCTGAACACAGAAATAATCATTCGTATCTTTCTAGGATAATGGTAAAGATCAGCAAAAAATCTACAGTGTGCCTAGCATGAGGTCCACCCTTATTAAATTAGAGTTACTATTGTTACCTTAATTTAAATTCCATTAGTGATATGTTTCCTTATTTAATTCAAGTAGCTGATAGCATTTAATTTGTGAAATCAGTGTCACGAATGACATTTCTCGCTTTGGACAGGAACTGAATTACTTATTACCATGGAAGAGTAAGTTTACTCACTTTGCAATTATAATATTAATATAGATTCCTGGTACTTCAGAAACTGTTCAGCCTTATTGATACACAACTGAAAAATTAAAATAAGCAATGGTACCGCCCACCAAAAAATAGAAAGAAAGAAAAAAAGAAAAGAAATGAAAAGTCATAGCATACTACCTCACCAAAGGAGGCAGACAAGGAGGCTTAAGCTATACAACTTGATCTCTGACCTTGGAAAAATGACCCAAAGTACAGTGTGAACTGATGATAAGTTCTTAATAACTGACTTGTTTTCTGAGAGCCTGGCTATTAAAAAAAAATTCCCCTTTCTGACTATTATTATATTCAATTTAAAAATATTATTAAGTGATTGCAACTTATCACACCCTATGCTTGGCCTTGGAATACCACTATGCATGGGTCAGATCCAGACCTGTTTCCCAGGACTCAGATGCCAGTGGGAAATAGAGACAAGTATAGATTCTCTACCACCCAGTGTGGTAAGAGTAATGATGGATAGGAAAGCAGCACATATTACAGTGTTGGCAGCCATCTGTTTCTTCAGTTGCAGTTGGTAGGTGCATAGGTTTATTTTTATGATTCTGCATCATAACGTACGTGTATATTACATACTATTTTGATATACCAAGTGTTGCATAATTTAAAAGGCGAAGTAAGAGGGCTGTGGAGGCAGCCAGTGCATCCCTGTTATAACCTGGTAGATGTCACATCTAAGCCAAAAATAGAATGATGAGTGTGAGCCAGAGTAGGGAAGACAGGCAGTGGAAAGTATTCTCAGGCAGGTGGAGCACGGGAAAGAGGTCTGGAAGGAGGTGAGGGAGAGCAGACTGAGTAGTTTAGCATGGCTGAAATGTGGAGTGCGAGGCAGCAAGAGATGAGGGATGGCAGTAGAGACCTACACAGGACCGCAAACACAAAAGGCCTTGTGAGCCAGTCAAGGAAATGGGACTCTATTTCAAGGACGGTGAGGAGCCATGGAAGCATCTTCTAAAGCTGAGTTACAGGATTGGACTCACACCCTAGCTGCAGAGTGAATAGTGAATCAAAAGGAGCAAGACTGGAAGCAAGAAAATCACTGAAGACACATTTGTTTACTCATACGTTTTGCAAAGATCAGAAAGTTTTAAAATGCACAGCACTGGTAAGAGTGCAGACAGGCAGGGAATATAAATCGACATGCTCTCTTTAGAGGGCAATTTGTCAATATCTATCAAAATGAAAAATTCATATGCCTTTGATCTAACAGTTCCACTACTGTTAGGAATATATCTGGCAAATAAACTTGCACACCTAAGAAATGTGTGGAAAATGTTGTTTCAGCACTGGTAGTATGAAGATTTTTAAAATAAGTTGGATCATTCTAGGTAGAGATAAAAAGAGCACTGAGGGGCCAGGCACCGTGGCTCACGCCTGTAATCCCAGCACTTTGGGGGGCCGAGGTGGGCAGATCACTTGAGGTCAGGAGTTCCAGACCAGCCTGGCCAACATGGTGAAACCCTGTCTCTGCTAAAAATATAAAAATTAGCTGGGCGTGGTGATGCATGCCTGTAATCCCAGCTACTTGGGAGGCGGAGGCTGCAGTGAACTGAGATCGCACCACCACACGCTCCAGCCTGGGTGACATGAGCAAAACTCCATCTCAAAAAAAAAAAAGAGCATTGAGATGTGTTAAGTGATTAAAGCGAGATCACAAATATTGGGTATAGTATTCTGTCATATAAATATCAACAGATATGTTTACTGATACACGTATATCTTTGTTGATGCACAGAAAAATATGTAGAAGAATGTATTCTTGGTTTCCTCTGAAAAGAGAGCACCTGATCTGGAAGAAATGAAAGCTTACTTTTCACTGAATATAGTTTTCTTTTTTCTCTCTTTTTTTTTTTTTTCTTGAGACAGGGTCTCACTCTGTCACCCAGGCTGGAGTGCAGTGATGTGATCTCAGCTCACTGCAGCTGCCACCACCCAGTTTCAAGCTATTCTGCCTCAGCCTCCTGAGTAGCTGGGATCACAGGCACACACCACCATGCCTGGCTAATCTTTTCTGTATTTTTTCTTTTTTTAGTAGATATGGGGTTTCACCATGTTGGCCAATCTGGTCTCAAACTCCTGGCCTGAAGTGATCTGCCCATCTCGGCCTCCTAAAGCACTGAGATTACAGGTTTGAGCCACTGTGCCTGGCTGTTTTCACTGAATATAGTTTTCTATGATGTGATATTTTCATCATTTTTACGCACTTTTTTTTCTTTTTCTGAGACAGGGTCTCTATCCGTCACCAAGGCTAGAGTACAGTGGCGTGATCATGGCTCACTGCAGCCTTGACCTCCTGGGCTTAAATGATCCTCCCACCTCAACCTCACAGGTAGCTGGGACTCACAGGCATGTGCCAGCACACTAGGCTTATTTTTTAAAATTTTTTGTGGAGCCAGGGTCTTGCTATGTTGCCCAGGCTGGTTTCAAATTCCTGGGCTCAGGCAATCCTCCCTCCTTGGCCTCTCAAAGTGCTGGGATTACAGGCATGAGTCACCATGCCCAGAGAGTATGCATTATATATATTATATATATTTTATATATAATATATACACATATGTGTATATATACGTATATACACACACACACACACACACATATATATATACGTATATATATACACACACATATATATATTTTTTTGAGACAGAGTTTTGCTCTTGTTGCCCAGGCTGGAGTGCAATGACGCAATCTCAGCTCACAGCAACCTCTGCCTCCCGAGTTCAAGCGATTCTCCTGCCTCAGCCTCCTGAGTAGCTGGGATTACAGGCATGTGCCACTACACCCGGCTAATTTTGTATTTTTAGTAGAGATGGGGTTTCTCCATGTTGGTCAGGCTCGTCTCGAACTCACGACCTCAGGTGATCTGCCCACCTCGGCCACCCAAAGTGCTAGGATTACAGGCGTGAGCCACCGCACCTGGCCATATTATATTTTAATTAAATGCAATGGGGATTTTTTGTATGTGTGTTTAGAATGAATTTTCCAGTATCTGGCAAAAGATGACATGACCTGTCATTCTTCAGTCCTGGCCTACCTAGGCAAGCCTTTATACCCCCAGAGTTCTGGGAAGAGGGCTCTTCCAGGGTGGTCTGCATGCCTTCCAGTTTTCTACCATGGGAGAGGAAGGGAAAGCAAAAATCTTCTGTTTTAGAAATTTAGGATAATCAGGGATCTAATTATAAACCTTGTGCTGTTTATCAACTCATCCCAAAGACATGTTGGGTCCGTCTCTTATACCTTGTCAGATTGTCTCCTAGACTAAGCCTTGTTCCAAACAGCTGCTGAAGCCCTCTGTCCTGGATGGGCCACGGCAGAGCTGGAAATCAGGCCCTTGGAAGGCAGCCCAGAGAGGGCTTCCTGCATGCCCAAGGCCATCTCTTCCCACTCTCTGCTTCCGCTCAGGCCCACCCGTCCTCTCTGCAGCCTGAGCAGAGACAGCACACCTCCGTTAGGGGTAGATGATGCCCAGACGGTGGAAACCAGGCCTGGAGAAGAGAACTCTTCCCCCACACATGCATCCACACAGAGGTTCATCAGGGAACCTTTCCACTAGACCCTCAGAGACAGGGGCACTACCCCTCAGGATTCCCAGCCGGTGAACTGAGACTCAGTTGTTTTCCTGAAGGTTAGCCAGGGGCTGGAATCCAGCCCATCCACTCCGTCCTTGTTCCTGCCCCTATAACCTGTGTATAAAGAGCTCTTCATTTATAATTTGGTGTTTACTTCAAAATACTCCAGGGGACTTCTGCCCCATCTTCCAACCTCCAAGATTCTGAATAATTTATTTTAAAAGTTGCTCACAGCATGTTTGCTCCATGAGGTGCGGTAGGGGAAAAGAGAGTGTTATTTGGAAAGGCTGTTTCAGTTGATAGAAAGACAGGTGAGCAATTGTTTTTATTTTCTAAAATCCTCATGCAAATATATCTGTACATGTAATGGCTAATGATGAGCTGGCAAATTTGGCTTGGCATTGAATGAGATCCAGCTCAAAATTAGAATAAGCCAGCGGTAAGACCAAAGGCCTCTCAGCCCAGGTTTCTGTCCGACCATTCCTTTCATTTGCATCATGGTTTCTTAATTTTGAGAAATAAATAGCCCCCTTTTAAGGGGGGAAAAAAGTGTTCGAGGAAAATGGATTTAAAAATTATATTTGCTTGTAATAATCACTGCAAAACAGAAGTTTTGATTTTATAATTGGAAGACTAATAACTTTTTAGAAGGTCTTGTAAATGAAAACACAAGATAAAAAACTCTCAGAGTGGCTGAGCACAATGGCTCATGCCTGTTATCCCAGCATTTTGGGAGGCTGAGGTGGGAGGATCACTTGAGTCCAGGAATTCAAGACTAGCCTGGGCCATATAGTGAAACCCCATTTCTGCCAAAAATTAGAAACTTAGCTGGGCGTGGTAGCATGCACCTGTCGTCCCAGCTACTCAGGAGGCTGAGGTAGGAGGATTGCTTGAGCCCGGGATGTCGAGGCTGCAGTGAGCTGTGATTGTGCCACTGCACTCCAGTGTGGGCAACAGAGCAAGACCCTGTCTCAAGAAAAACAACTCTTAGAGAGACCTCAGATTCCAGTTTGAGAAACAGTGGAAGCCATTTTTCCTGGGAAACCTCTGGTAGATGTTATGTACAACCTGGACCCAGACCATTGACCTGTCAGCCCAGCAGCCGTGCCCTAAGATGCCACTGTTCTTAGGTAGTCCCTTCACTATTAATAACTCTAAAGACACTGAGGCATTGGAGAAGTGGACAAAGACTGATACGTTGTGAGGGCTGGAGGGCAAAGAGAGAAAAACTTGCCACTTGGAATGCAGCTAGAGCGGAGCATGACTGTGGAACGACCCTGAGTTGGAAGACAGCTGCTGTGAGCAGAGTGGGAGAAAGAGAGGGGTACTCCTTTTTGGGGGCTGCTGCTGCAAGACACCAAGAACTAACTGGGCAACTTAAAACATCAGAAATGTATTCTCTCACAGTCCTGGAGGCTGGGAGTCTGAAATCAAGGTGTCAGCAGAGCCATCCTCTCTCTGATGGCTCTAGGAATGGAGCCTTCCATGCCTCTTCCAGTTCCTCATGTTTGCTGGCTATCCCTGGTGTTCCTGGGCTTGTAGAGGCATCACCCCAGCCACATGGCCGTCTTCTTCCTGTGTGTCATCACATCCTCTTTCCTCTGCACATCTGCCTCTGCGTCTCTGCTCCTCTTCTTAAACCAGTCTAAATTAGTTCAACCATTGTGGAAAGCAGTGTGGTGGTTCCTCAAAGAACTAAAAACAGAACTACCATTTGACCCAGCCATCCCATTATTGGATCTATACCCGAGGGAATATAAATCATTCTACCATAAAGACACATGCACGCATGTGTTCATTGCAGCACTATTCACAATAGCAAAGATACGGAATCAACCTAAATGCCCATCAACGGTGGACTGAATAAATAAAATGTGGCACATATACACCATGGAATACTATGCAGCCATAAGAAGAGAATAATATTATGTCCTTTGCAGGAACATGGATAGAGCTGGAGGCCTTATCCTAAGGGAACTAACGCAGGAACAGAAAACCAAATACTTCATGTTCTCACTTATAAGTGTGAGCTAAATAATGAGGACACAGAGATACAAAGAGGGGAACAACAGACACTGAGGCCCCCTTGAGGGAGGAGGGTAGCAGGAGGGAGAGGTTCAGAAAAAAAAAAACAGGTACTATGCTTAGTACCTGGGTGATGCAATAATATATACCAAACCCCCACGACATGAGTTTACCCATAAAACAAACCTGTATGTGTACCCCTGAACATAAAAGTTAAAAAAAAGAAAAGAACACCAGTCATATGGGATTAGGGCTCACCCACATGTCCTCATATTAACTTGATTACCCCTGTAAAGACCCTATCTCTAAATAAGGTCACATGCTAAGATACTGAGGGTTGGAGCTTCAGCTTGTACCAAGAGCAGGTTGGGAGAAACCTGGGTGGGTAAAGAGGTGGGAAAACCAAAACCAGAAGAGGGAATGGAGAGGCTGCCAAATCTCTTCAATCCACCCTACAGTGGTGTGCAGAGTCGCCTGGACTCATCTCATTAGGACAGAATGAGAATCTCACTTTATACACCACAAAACACCACAGAGCCCAATTGTTCGCCTTTAGACTGTTGTGCAGATGCAGCTCCAGCACATGGGGCACACAATTTAAAGCACAAAGCAAGACAGACTTTCTCTGTTATTAACAGAAGTCTCTGGAAAGAGCTACTCTTGATGTGACGAACTCACAGAGGTGAAAATGTCCTTCTAGGGCGATGGCTCAGCAGAGGCTGGCGATCGGCCAGGAAAGCACATCTGGTGCCGCTCAACCGGATGCCCTGGGTGGGTGATATTTACAGTAAAATACAGCAGCTCTAATGAAATTTCCACAGTGGTTACTTGGCAAATTGATGGTTTTGTTGAGATAAGGAGAAAGATGGGACGAGGGGGGAAAGGGGGAGAGCCAAACTGAGAAAAACACACACACACACACACACACACAGACCATTTTAGTCATTAGGAAAGAAAGTTGTGAGCATACCAGTCAGGGCACTTGTGATTTAAGTCAGAAAACGGTTTTGATTTAAGTTGGAATTCAGCTTTGAGGGCATGGGATGACCTGGCCTTATAATCCCATAGATTTGAAAGTGATTGCGGATTTATAGACACTCACTGCACACATAGCCTGAGAGCACAGACTCTGCTTTCAAGGGGCGTGTGATGTTTTAAAGAAAGTTCAAAGTGCTGCTAGAAATGTGTCTAAAACAGACAAGTGACTCTGAGGACACATTCATTTTTTATTGAGAGTCCGGCTAAACATGTAGTTGTGACAAGATGTTAAAAACCGTTATTTAATCATGTGTTCCCTCCCTTATGTTCATGCTGGGAACATGCCTGGGTGAAATCATGGAAACACCACACCCAAGATTCTGTTGTTAAAGCACTGATGACTTCTGACCCAATCATAAAGTTGACAGCAAAACCAGCTTATTTTTCAGAGTTCAAAAGAACAATCCTGTAATCTGTAAGATGTTTGAGAAAAAGTCCTAGTCTTAATGTTCTTTTTCTTTAAGCTCTTTGTGGAAGTAAGCTGGTTATAACTAATAGAGAAATAAAGAACAACTCATAACTCTTCCCCTAAATACTGATTCCAGTGACTTCCATGCTGAAAGAGCATCCACGGGTTTAAAAACTCTGTTCAAGGAACAGTGCCAGGTACCAAGGATACAGGAGGTATAACACAGACCCTAACACAGACTCCAATTGCAAGGGATCTGCACTTCATTTATCCATTCATCCTTCACCAATCCATTCAAACAGCCAACGTTTGTTGAAGATTTGCCATGTGCCACCTTTCTTTCACCAGGGAGATGGAGGTCCAGAAGGAAAATCTTTCCCGTCAAGGAGGCTCAGAGTCTATTGGGAAGAAAAACAGGTAACAATTATGCTGCTTCTTCAGAACCAGGTCTACAGGTGACCACCAAGAACTGTGGTCTGTGAGTAACTACTAAGGAAGGAGAAAGCACTTGTGGAAAAGCCAGCCTCAGTATTAAGGCAGACTCTGTGGAGGGCCAGATGAATGGCGAGGACTGTAAGTGTTCTCAGAGACAGAAGAGGGGGGTATTCAGCACATCTAGAATATTAATATATTGAGCTTCCAAGTATATTGGAGAAGAAAATAGAAAATTTAAAGGAATTTTATAACTACACTTTATGGGTAAATATTCCATTTCTCTCATTTTTCCCTACAATCACAACTGTATCAAATATAGTTCCCTAGACCGTGCATGGTGGCTCATGCCTGTAATCCCAGCACTTTGGGAGGCCGAGGCAGGTGGAATGCTTGAGCTCAGGAGTTTGAGACCTGCCTGGGCAATGTAGCGAATCCCCATCTCTACAAAAAATACAAAAATTAGCCAGGTGTGTGGCGCATGTCTGTAGTTTCAGCTACTGTGGGGGCTGAGGTGGGAGGATCACTTGAGCCTGGGAGGTGGAAGTTGCAGTGAGCCGAGATTGTGCCACTGCACTCCAACCTGGGTGACGGAGTGAGACCCGCTCTCAAAAAACAAAACAAAACAAAAAAACACTTTTTAAAAAATAGTTCCTATAACAAGACCTGAAACCCTTCAGTGATTTGGGATGGGAGCGTGAATGCTAGGAATGGGAAAAGGATGGATCTAGTTGAAAATAAACATGAAACAAGGCTCTCAGAGATGACTTCTCTTAAGTCCATATTGGAACCCCCAGAACACTTTCTCTCCACTCCTTTCCTGATGACTGACCCTCTTGAGAGCTCTCTCCTTGTCTATTCTCCTTCCTGGACAACGATCAGCTTGGCCTGGCTTTATTAGCACTTATAGTGAATTCTTCATCTGAAAACTACCAATGAACTACCAACCCTGTCTGCCATAATAAGCCAACAGCCCTGTCTTGGTTATAGACAGCTAATATCATCTGCACTTAAAGTCTCTGCTCCAGGAGATAGCCTCAGTCTTCTCCATATCCTATGATGAGAGATGGATGAGAGCCCTTTAAAATAAATGTATCTACACATGCAAAGGGCTGTTAAAATTAGTTTTAAGCCATGGGAAGAAATTACAGAGGAATATATATTCAATGAGACTGCAAGCTTAAATTACTGATAGACAGACAGAATGGAGGAGAATGCCAGATGAAACTCTCTGATTTATTGGTAATAATAATCTGACTCTATGTCAGATAGAGTATAGGAATTACTATCAATAATGAGCACTTATTTATATATCTCATATAGGGAGAGATCAGGAGAACTGTTCCAAAGATGTACATGAAAGTATAATATGCCAGGAGCAGATAAGTATAATTTTATTGATTAGTCAACTGGGTTAGGACCTCACTTGTGGAAGAATGATGTGCACAACCAAGTTTTAATTGTGCTTATGTCACTGGGCAACTCTAGAGATGCCTCCTCTTTCTCTTTTCCTGTGATTTCTCCCATCTCCTCCACCTCTTAGAATCCTACTTGCCCTTCAAAGCTTAGCTCACTTCTCCTCCCTGATGTGAACACTTCCTTAACTACAGTAGGCTGTATATTAGCTTCCTCTTCTGATCCCCAGCTGCAGTTATTTTCTGAACAAACCATTGGCACTTTTCTCTTTTCTTTTCTTTCTTTTTTTTTTTTTAATTATACTTTAAGTTCTAGGGTACATGTGCACAACGTGCAGGTTAGTTACATAGGTATACATGTGCCACGTTGGTTTGCTGCACCCATTAACTCATCATTTACATTAGGTATTTCTCCTAATGCTATCCCTCCCCTAGACCCCCACCCCACGACAGGCCCTGGTGTGTGATGTTCACCGCCCTGTGTCCAAGTGTTCTCATTGTTCAATTCCTACCTATGAGTGAGATCATGAGGTGTTTGGTTTTCTGTCCTTGTGATAGTTTGCTCAGAATGATGGTTTCCAGCTGCATCCATGTCCCTGCAAAGGACATGAACTCATCCTTTTTTATGGCTGCACAATATTTCACGGTGTATATGAACCACTGGCACTTTTCATATACTACCTTACATATGTATATATCTTGTCTCCTCAATTTGAGGTAAGAACCTCGAGAAGAAGGACCCATTTTAGCAACATCTTATGAATAGCACCTTACACATTTATTTATTGAACCTACTGCATGAATGACAATAGAGGTGCAAAGGTGAACAGTATACCTGCCCTGTCTTTGAAGAGCTAGGGCCATTGACAAGTAGCCTCTGGTGAGTTAGTCAGTTGAAGATTCAAGAAATGACTCAGGAACAGAGTACCAAGCAAACATTTGGCCAGAGAGAATAAGAAAGGAGAAGAGAAAAAGCTGGCAATTATGAGTCAGGGTAGACTTGATTGCTAAAACAAACAATGTAACGTAACATAAAAAAGTTCCCGGTCAAGTCACATTTCAGTGTGGTCGATGTAGAGCTCTGCTCATGCAATCATTCAGGGATCCAGGCATCTGTCAACTTGTGACTGTATGTCAGAGTTCTCTACATTTATGAGATGTATAAAGAAAGACTGAGAGAGCATAGCAGACACACCTAGCCCTCCAAGTAACACACCTTGCCTCCCTGAGATGTGTCACGTTGATAGGAATCAGTTCTGTAGTCTCACATAGATGCCACAGGATGGGAAATATGTCTAATTGTGTGCCTCCAAAAGGAAAACTCAGGTATTGGTAGTTTCTGCCATAGTAGATAAGGTTGAACAAAAATTAAAAGATGAAAAAGACTATGATAAGAAACAGAGCCTCAAACTCCAGATTTTCCCTCTCCTTTTCTTCAAAGAGATGGACACCAGTATAATGGTCCCCCGTTTGAAGAAAGACCTGCATGAAGTGTATGGGGTTGGGCACAGCAGAGGAGAATAATCTTTTCTCTGTGACTAATTAGCCATATGAAGAAATGAAACAATCAATGAGGAAAGTATTTTTTTTAATTTTAGGTTCAGGGTTTCATGTGCAGGTCTATTACACAGGTCTATTGTGTAATGGTGAGGTTTGGGCTTCTAGTGAACTCATCACCCAAATAGTGAACATAGTGCCTGATAAGTAATTTTTTGACCCTTGCCCCCCATCTTTCTTCCCTGCTTTGGAGTCCCCAGTGTCTATTGCTTCCATCTTTGTGTCCATGGGTACTTATTATTTAGCTTCCACTTATAAGAGAAAACATGCAGTATTGGATTTTCTGTTTCTGAGTTATTTCACTTAGGATAATGTCCTCCAGTTCCATCCATGTTGCTAAAAAGGACATTATTTCATTCTTTTTATGACTACATAGTATTCCATTGTGTATATGTACCATATATACATACATATTTTTTGAGACTGAGTTTCGCTCTTGTTGCCCAGGCTGGAGTGCAATGGTGCAATCTTGGCTCACTGTAACCTCTACCTCCCAGGTTCAAGTGATCCTCTTGCCTTAGCCTCCCAAGTAGCTGGGATAACAGGTGCCCGTCACCATGCCCAGCTAATTTTCGTATTTTTAGTAGAGATGGGGTTTCACCATGTTGGCCAGGCTGGTCTCGAACTCCTGACCTCAGGTGATCCACCCTCCTCGGCCTCCTAAAATGCTGGAATTATAGGCGTGAGCCACCACACTGGGCCACCGTATTTTCTTTATCCAATCAATCATTGATGGACACTTAGGTTGATTCCGTGACTTTGCTATTGTGAATAGTGTTGTTATAAACACTGAATGCAGGTGTCTTTTTGATAAAATGATTTTTTTTTCCTTTGTGTAGATACACAGTAGTAGGATTGCTGGGTCGAATGGCAGTCCTATGTTTAGTTCTTTGAGAAATCTCCATACTGTTTTCCGTAGAGGCTGAACTAATTTACATTCCTACCAACAGTATATAAGCATTCTCTTTTCTCTGCATCCTCTCTAACACATATTATTTGTTGACTTTTTAATAATAACCATTCTGACTGGTATGAGATGGTATCTCTTTGTGGTTTTAATGTGCGTTGCTCTGATGACTAGTGATGTGGAGCATTTTTTCATATGTTTGTTGGCCATGTGTGTGTCTTCTTTTGAGAAGTTTCTGTTTATATCCTTTGCCCACTTTTTCATAGGATTCTTTGCTATTTTCTTGTTGATTTGTCTAAGTTTCTTAAAGATTTTGGATATTAGCTCTCGTCGGATGCATAGTTTGCAAATATTTTCTCCCATTCTGTAGGTTAACTGTTTACTCTGTTGATTGTGCAGAAGCTCTTTAGTGTAATGAGGAAAGGATTTGAACCAGGTAAATATTAATCTCGGTGAACTACTATGTGAAAGCAACTGGGTACTTTTCCTCTGTGTCCTCAAAGGACATGGCCAGTGATGGGGACTTCCCTAGTCAGTGTGTAGCAGAGAGCTTCTGTGGGCCCTGAGGAAAATACCTGTTTAACTATCTTGCTTTAGGGTTTCTAACTGTTCTATGAACACCCTGATAATGAGCTGACAAGCTATAAGGCCAGGAGCATTTGAGGCCACATGGGGAGAACAAAGACAGGAATATCCCATTCAGCTGAGAATCACAGTCACTCAAGAGGTCAAGCAAACTCAATTTCAAAGAGCACTGGCGGGGGATCCTACCAGTTGTAGGGGTCAGCAAGGAGGTGAAATTGGGAAGAGGCAAAATACTATAAGACCCTACAGAGTTATTAATTGGAAGGAACGACTCAGTACTGCTGGCTGTCTTGTTTAACCCTTTCTAGCCTTGTATTTTTCAAAAGCTCTCGTAAGTCCCAGTAGCTTGGTCAGCCTAAAGGAAGCCAGCAAAGTAGAAGAAAATTTTAGATGCTTCCCACCTAACTGTTTGCACACCTTGCTGCCTCCCAAGCTTTCTCCCCTCCCTCCCAGGTGACATGTTCCCTTGCTGGCTACCAGCTGCTCACCAAGAACCACTCCATTTCCCCCACCTCTACACAGTGAACTGGAATTCTGTAACTCAGTCTAGCTTGTGAATAACTGAAGGCTGCATTAACTGTTAATGCACGAACCTTCAGAATATTTGCATTTTAAAAGAGGATCTTATAAAGACAAGTGAATCAACCATTAATGGTAGGCTTTGAGGGTTAGAGGTGGGAAGCTATTTTTATTTTGCCTATTTTATCATCAGGGTGGCCTTATACCAGCGGTCTAACATTTCTTTGAAATAATTGATCTAGTAACTGTTTGATCTAGTTAAAGGCTTAGATTTTCTTCATATCATAAATCTGGATTTAAATCAATCATGGGATTATGTGTTGAATTTTTTCAGAGCAGACTGCCACATGTTAATTCCCTTACAATTTCAGTTTAGAATAGCAGAGCCACAGGGTTTCTTTTTTTCCATGTCTCTCTTTGACATAGTTTTGACCTATGAAGTGAACAGTTTCTTTCTAAAACACCACGACTCAAGAGGTAAAGGCAGGTCAAATATGTAATCCAATGGGTATGTTTGGGGAAAATCACCTATAAAGTGAAGAGCTTTTTGATGGGCTTTTTGATGGGCTGTTTCTCATTGTGCTGGTTTCAGCATTATTGCTGTTTTAAGCTTGTGACTTAAAATGACTTCATTTTGTTCAGTTTCTTTTTTTTTTTTTTTTTTTTTTTTGAGTCGGGAACTGGGGAAGGCCTTGGTGGGATGGCCCATCTCTGCTCCAGGTGCATCAGCTGGCGGAGCTGGGCTGGGCTGGAGGATCCACTCCAAGACCATTTACTCTCATGGCTGGCAAATCCCTGCTGGCTATCGGCTGGGACCCCAGCTGTGGCTGTCTCCCAGAGGCCATGATTCCTCTCCGTGTTGGCCTCTCCATGGCTCCCTGGGCTTCCTCACAGCACAATGGCTGGGTTTCAAGAGTGAGTGTGCCCAGAGGCCAAGGTGGAAGCCAATGGCTTCTTCTGACTTCGACGTGGAAGCCATGAAGTGTCACTTGCTCTGCATTTGATTGGTCCAGCAAGTCGCTAAGCCCAGCCCAGAATCAAGAAGAGGGGAGTTAGATTCTACTGCTCAAAGGAAACAGTAGCAAAGCATCTGTGGCCATCTTTAATCTACCACAGACATTCTCAGATAAGAACTGTTACCAAAAGAGCCACAAAATATTGCTTACTGTGTTAAGACCTCCACAAAGGAAGCTGTCTTCTGAAGTTATAGTTCATTCTTCTCTGAAAATACAACCTTTCATTCACTGGCCACTGCTGACTTAATAAATGGCCTCATGTGTTACAGACTGCTTAGTCTTCAGGTTTGAGGGCTTTCTGGATGCTCCTTGGGGCCTAGGTTCCTGCAGCTGGAGTGGACTGTTTATTCGTTTTCCCTACAGTCCATCTCAGAGGTGACAGATGAGGTTTAACATTTTTAACCCTTGTGAGTAGTTTTGGCTTTAAAAGAAAAGAACAGGAAAAATTCCCTAAACATATTTATTAAACAAATGCTTACTAAATTCCTATTATATGCAGAGCACTGTACCGTGTTCTGGAATGTGGAGGGAGGGAGTGGGGGAGATGAGTAAGTCACATTTGCTGTCCTCAAAGTCACTTGTTGTGTAATGGGGAGACAGATGTGTTCATAAATAACAGAAAGTAGTTAAAGAACGCGAGCCTTGAGGAGGCCGAGTGTGGGTTGAGAAAGGAAACAGTTGACTGTGAGTTTCCGAATCTTAGTGCCAGTGTTTGTGTTTAGCAGAGGGAGGTCGCATTCCCGTAGTATGGAAGGTGGTCCCCATCAGGAGAAAGTAGAGGTTAGGAACACGAGACCTAAAGTCAAGCGATGTGGCAAAGAGAACAGTAGCGTGGCATAGAAATTAAAGCTCCAGACCTACCTAAGTCTCAATCCTGGCTCTGCTAACTGTGTGACCTTGGGCAAGTTACTTAATCTCTCTGTTCCTCTGTATCATTACTTGTAAGATAGGGATAATGACCATATCTAACACATGGAATGGTAAAGAGAATTATTGAGTTGAGATTTATAAAGCCCTTAGAATAGTGCCTGGCACACTATACTAAACTCTCAATAAATGGTATCTATTATCTTATTGTGATCTGGGTCTGGAATTGGACATTAACTTAATGTGTTATTGAGACACAATATTTTCACTCATCAACAATTGTAGGCAGCTCATTCTTTACCTAACAAAAACATGTACTGTGGATGAGGAGTCAACTCCATCTTCTTGTCACTGCAAATATAGGAGCAGTATTGGACTTGTTGTAGACACTCATTGGTGGTGTAGACAGCAGTTTTGTTGCATGAATGATGGTTTATGCTGTTCTATTTCCTTGGGCAAAGGCCTTGATGTTGGGTAGAATTTGAATATCAATTATTAAATGTCACTTATCCAGTGTGTGTGGCATGTCTGACACGGTTCCAGGCATACGCTCTGAGTGATATGGCTGTGACACACCTCGTGATACAGCTGTGAGCAAAAGAGACAAAGTCCTTGCTTGTCGGCTCCTGGAGTTTACCTTCTGGTGGTGAGAGAAAGATGTGGGGTATGCCAGATGGGGACACAGCATGCACAGAGCAGAGAGAGGAACAAGCAAGATGTGCGTGTCCAGGGAACACAGGGAGGCAAAACAGATCAGAGCAGGTGGCCCGTATGGTGCAGCACAGGAGATAGGAGCAGAAGGTCATTTTCATTCCCAGAGAGGAGGTCAAACAGAATGGCCCATGCCAGAATTTTTCACCCCCTAGAGCTCCATACAAATGGGTTGTATCTAATGCATGGGTAATTGATATTCAGGCTCCAGTTAAGACCAAAAAAGTGAGGTCAGGCATAGACTGCAGCAAAAGTCTAGGTTTCATGTAACTTTCTGATTTCAAGGGTTGTCAAGCATTAAAACCAAGCCAGAGCATGCAGTAAATTTTTCTTCCCTGGAAATGTTTAAGAATAAAAGAGCATCAAATTTTAGGAATGCGTTAGGAAGAAACTAATGTTCAAGAAAAAATAATCCTTGAAGAAGTTCAATCTCTTCCAAGACTCTCACGCTATAATCTGTGGAATGCCAGGTGTTCATTAGAAAGTTTTCTGGATATGGAGGGACTTACAATTCTGAATATAATGACTGTAGTTTCTTTCCATGGACTCAGATATCTGACAGGCAGGCAGAGGGCTAGATGATTGTGCAAGATTGGTTACAAAACCAGCTCTTACCAACTCTCAGATTCTGGGATACCATCAGCTGATAAAGGAGAACAATAAAAATAGCCCACAGAAGAAATTTCCCAAATCATGCACTAAAGACACACATTTTGAAAATTAACTGATGCTCCCAAATTGGAGAACTGAACACATGCTCATGCTTGCCCCAAAATAGAAATAAGTTGGATTACAGTGAAAACTGGAAAGTCTTTAGAAAACAGAGCAGAAAGTAGGAAAGGATCGGAAAATAACAGGAAGAGTGAGTAATCCCAACTTCACACTGTGAAAAACCAGAGGCTGTCTGCATCCAGGTCTGCTGCTTAGATCACTTAGATCACAACAGAGCTCTTCTCCACTGAAAGGTCTGCAAATTCTCATGGGTATTTAGAAGCTCTTCCAAAGCTGCTTGATAAGTACAATACTCTTTTAAATTTTTCCATGAATACTAATTTGGGGGCCAGGCGTAGTGGTTCATGCCTTGTAATCCCAGCACTTTTGGAGGCTGAAGCGGGAAGATTACTGGAGCCCAGCAGTTTGAGAACAGCCTGGGCAACATGGTGAAACCTAGGCTCTACAAAAAATTTAAAAATTAGCTGGGCATGGTGGTGCGTGCCTATAGTCCCTGGTACTTGGGAGGCTGCAATGGGAGGATTACATAAGCCCAGGAGGTCGAGACTACAGTGAGCTGTGATTGCACCACTGCACTCGAGCCTGGGCAACAGAATGAGACTCTGTCTCAAAAACAAAATTAATCTGGGGCTTCATGTGTAGCCTCCTAATTCTTCTGACATTGTGAACCAGAGTGGGAGTAATTTTTAAAAGTTTGCCTTGGAGGTTTCTCAATCCAACTTATGCCCAAATCAAGGGTAGGATTTGATATTGCACATGGAAGTTAGAACCACAGTCCTTCAATATGTAGGCAAAACAGGCTGGTTTTTCAATTCCTTTTCCAAAACCAAAGAAAATTAACCAACTACTTCTTTGACCTTCTGTTATTCAAAAGCAGCTTTCATCCTCCTTGGAGGCCCTGTATTCTAACAGTCAAGTCAAGCTTTTAGATCATATTCTGACATTCCAAATGGCAGAATTTTTATTGAAATTTTATGTTCAGCTGCTTGGAAAATGTTATCCAAACCTTTGAATTTTTCTGTCAAATCAATCCATTTTAATTTAAAAGCTATTTATTGTACACATAGCAGATATAGTTCTTCAGAATCTGTGGGAGATTGCTTCCAGGACCCCTGCAGATACCAAATTTGAGGATGCTCAAGTCCCTTATATAAAATGGTGTAATATTTGCCTATAACCTAGTCACTTATATAAAGTCCCTTATATAAAATGGCGTTATATTTGCATATAGCCTAGGCACATCCCCCATATAATTTAAATTATCTGTGGATTACTTATAATATGTAATACAAAGTAAATGTTATGTAAATAATTGTTATACTGCATTGTTTAGAGAATAATGACAAGAAAAACAGTCTGTGAGGTACAGGTGCAACCATTCAATTCTTTTTTTTAAGAATATTTTTGATCTGTGGTTGGTTGAATCCACAGATGTGGAATCTGTGGACACAGAGGACCAACTATATATAGAACCTTGGATACTATGGTCTATTCTAGCCTTCAAGAAGCTTGTGGCCTCACTGAGCAGCTAAGACATGTGCACATGAAATGTAAAATGCCAATTAAAGGTAGCCCATGATTGAGAATGCCCTGGGTACATATCCATGGGTATGATAGGCATTCTAAGGAGCAAGAGATCATGCTAGGTTCATGTGGTTCTAGCAGGTGAAACTGGAATTGGGTCTTAAAGTATGAGTAGGAGTTGGTCAGGTAGAGAGGGCAGGAGAAAGCTCTCCTGGCAGGAACATAGGCTCAGAGATGACGATATCAGATGGAAGTATCAAACTAGCCATTTATTCCTTTTGAAAATTTCTGTGGTCACCCCACATAACAGTCTTCATGGTCACCCTCAACAAATTTAAAGGATACTTAAAAGCCTGGAAATTCTATTTATCTGGAATATTACATTGGGCTCATGCTATTTTCTGCTCCATGCCATTTTGTACCCTCCCAGGAAGAGCCCCGCATATTCTACCATGATCACTTGAAAACACCTTGAACATAAGAAGCCAGAATTATTGGCATTAAATCAATAACCGAGTTTTGCTTTGTGAACCAAGACATTATTTTTGCCAGATGAAAGGAGAGAAAGAGACAGCAAGGCCAACAGACAATTTATAAAAATCTCATGGGATGACTTGTGTTTCCTTGGGGAAGAGTTAAAACAAATTAGATTGTGGCTGGTTCTATTTGTGTCAGAACCAAACATGCTGATTTCACAAAGCTTGTAGACCTTTGGATGCTTTGTGTAGAACTGTATTTTAGTTTTCATGCATTTGCAGTGTTTCCCCAAGCTACTCATCTGAGCATGTAGAAGACATGGAGCTGCATTCAAAAAATGGAAACCACAGTTATCCCACACACATGTATGTCCATTAGAGAATAGAAACATGAACCATAAAGGACGACTCCAGGACAGCAAGAAAATCAAAGGGGTATTTTTCATGTGGCTACCATCTGAGCTATCTCCTGTGCTTCTGTTTTTATATCTCCACCATTGATGTTTATAGTACTTTGAGTTTACTACATTTTTACATACCTTATTTCATTTGATCCTCATCATAACTATAGAAGGTAGATATTATTAGCCCCCATTTTATAGCTATGAAGAAACTGAAGCTCAGAGAGTTTATAAATTATTCAGAGAGCGGCCTTTTAAAGTACATTTGAGAAATCTTTTTTTGTGATCATGATGATGATAGCATTAGAGATTTTAAAATATTGCTGTGTGTCTGAGGAATAAAAGACTGCATATGGGTACAGTGTACACTGCTCAGGTGACATGTGCACCAAAATCTCACAAATTACCACTAAAGAACTTATCCAGGTAATCAAAACCACCTGTTTCCCAAAAACTATTGAAATTAAAATAAATAAATCAATAAAATATTGCTATATGTAATAATAGTATATAATAAGACCCTTGACTGGCAGTAATACTGCATATAACCATATTGCCATATTCATTATAATATGAGAAAGAAAGCAGAAATTTAAAATAGGAAAACTCACATCTGGTATCACACTGATGGATTTAAAAGCGTTGCCAATAGTATTGATGTGGCTGACATAACAAGATAGAAAAGATGGCAAATTCTGAAGTGAACGACCAACCATTTTCAAGTTAAATAAAAGAGAGTTGTCCTAAATGTTCTCAAAATACCCACAATTTGGCTATGATACAAGGAGTACAGAAACATTTGTGTTTATGGTCAACCTGTGGATTATGTGTCTCAAAAATACGTAGACACTTTGTAATATGTTGATTTTTATTTTAATGGATAGGCTTGTATTTTGATACACCCTATGTGTATACATACAGATTATGAAAAAGTTACCAATTACAATTCCACAATTGTATACAGGGCCCAGGCAAATTTAGTTTCAGAGGCAGTTAGTACGCAGAACAGCCATTTCTAAGATACTCTTTTCATCCTAATATTACATGTAAACATTTTTGAATGTCTCCTGTTTTTATTTTAACTTGGCTCAGTTAACATCACATACCTGAACTTATGATAAAATCACTGAGGCCAGAAATCCTTCTTTCTTACTGTCCTCTACCCTCAACAAGATACTCCCTGAATGTCCCTTTAATCTACTGTTTTCAGGAGGGGCTGGTGGACTTGAGATTCTAATAGAGCCTGAGCATCTTCCCTAATCTAGTCATTAATCATTAATTGCTTTAATAGTTTAAAATTTATGCAAAGACAGTTCATCCATAATTATGCATGTATTATACCTTTGGGCATATGAAATGTGAAACAATTTTCTATAATTTCTAAGGGCAAGGTAACAGACAATTTTCCAATCATTTTTCCAGAGGTTACCAACAGGATAGATTTTCTTTCTTCAAGGAAATAGTTTCCAAAATATTCTCCCCAGAGTTCTAAGGGTTCCTAGGAGGTGCCCCTGGAGCCTCAGAGGGTGTTGGGGGTGGTAAGAGCAGACACTATGCTTAATCCTGCAACTTTCCTCATACAGAGCAGCAAAATTGTTTTGAATGTTGATATTCTTAATAAAATTTGGCTTACAGCCATCAACAGCAAAAAACTGAAAACTATTGCTTTAAGGTTACTGTATAAATGGTCTCGAGATATCTAGTAAGGTCTACTGAAACTCTCTGAAGCCAGGTCAAAGCAAGTTTAAATCACTTCAACTTTTTTCTTTTAACCAAAAAACTACTATTTTAGGAGGACTATGAGAACATTCAAAAACTAAAAAGCAATAGGATTTTACATTAGTTGGGCATGATTTTAATAAGGAACTCACTTTTTTTTTTTTTCCTTTGAGAAGGAGTCTCACTCTGTCACCAGGCTGGAGTGCAGTGGCGCAATCTCAGTTCACTGCAAACTCTGCCTCCTGGGTTCAAGCGATTCTCCTGCCTCAGCCTCCCGAGTAGCTGGGACTACAGGTGCATGCCACCAGCCCGGCTAATTTTTGTATTTTTAGTAGAGACGGGGTTTCACCATATGGGCCAGGCTGGTCTCGAACTCCTGACCTCGTGATCTGCCCGCCTTGGCCTCCCAAAGTGCTGGGATTATAGGCATGAGCCACTCCGCCCGGCCAGGAGCTCACGTTCAAAACCATGTGTTCGGCTACCTGAGCTCCACAACTGCTCCTTCTTTGGCCTCCGGTGAAAGTACAGGAACCCCAAAAATGGTTTATTCCCTCTCTTTTGATGCTTCAAACAACTCTGGGATCTGCCTCCCATTTGCCATGTTGAACCTGTTGGTTTGGTCTTGCCTGACCTCAGTAGTAGATTGCTGGCTTCTCTCTGGCTGCCTGTGCTGGTCATGCTATTGCACACTGTCCTTGGATTCCCTAGCTGCTCTCATCCAACACTCTACATCTACATCCCAACCTCTCCTCAAAACCAGCCTCAATTCTCAAAATCTTATCCTATAGGAGGTCATCAAGAAAAGAGCTCAGTTGGTTTACTAACACAAAATAGAAGCACCTTTCAACTCTGCATTTTAATCTGAATGTAAATTATAGAATCATGGAAAAACAGGTCTTTGAAGGGACATGAAGGAGCCGGTGATCCAATCCCATGACTATTCTTACCCTGGCCCAAAATCTTAGCTCTATTTAAAAATGAGTTCTAGAGAAGAATTCACTGCTTTCCTAAGATTCAATAATTATTCTTATACCCTGTGGTAGGAAATTCATCAAATTAGTTTGTATTTTAAAATTAGCTTTTCAGGTAGAGAACAAACCTTTTTTCACATCCTCAAAGACTCATTAAGATTATATGTAAGAAAAAAACTGAATCAACTAAAAAATAAAATTATAGGCCAGTTTTAAGCCTCAGTTGGCTCCTCTGTGGAATGGAGAAAATAACCTTACTCCCTTGTAGGGTTGTTCTGGAGTCTTAAGTGGGTCCCTGCCATGTAAAGAGATTGGCACAGCCTGATGTATAGGAAGCAGTTAAGAAAATGTACCTTGTTCTGAATGGTTGTTGGCTGTTGGTTAATAGGACCAGGCCTTTGAGTTTTCTGCTCACCCAGTATGACAACAGACATCAAATCACTTTATCCAGATTGCTGAATAACTGCTGGCTAGCAATGTGGTGAATCGTTTCCAGTTAGGATCTAACCCAGCATCTTTCATTTATACCCAGGACTCTATTTCCTACCACCATTCCTAAAGCCACTAGCTCTTGTTTCTTTACAAAGAAACAAGCCAAAAAGAATTCACAAATGTCTTTCTATTTCTCCATCCCCTCTCCATCCCATGAGATCCCAAACAAAATATATCACATGAATGTGACATGGAAACTTTATTCTCCAGGAACAATTTTGGTTAAATTTTGACATTGTGTGTTCCTTCCTAGAGCAAGACAAAGTCTCTTTATTTACTTAGCACTTCCTTAGAAATGTTACCAAGCCTTGTTTGGCTATGATGCCTGATCAAAGGCTCTCCTTATTGTTACTTAATCTATTTCATTTAACTTTGATATACAAGAAACTCTTTAGGTGTTTTTATTAAATACTTTTTATGAAAATGTCTAGAGTCTGTTATTGTAATTTAGCAACCAAAGAAGACATTTATCCTTATAAAATGAAGTACGTCACCCATTCACCATTAATACCTAAGCTTTTACTCCATGGCTTTAAAAAAAATTAAAACGTGGGAAGGAACTTGGCAGATAGATATGAGTCAGTGTGATGAAGTGGAAAGAATAAGGCATTTGTAGTTAGAAGACTTGGTTTCCAATCCCAGCTCTGTTATACATTAGCTGTGACCTTGGGCATATAAATCCTCTGACTTTTCTGAGTTTTTCTCTATTCATGAAATGAACATGACAATTTTTGCTTTTCCCTTCTTCACGGGGTTGATGTGAGGCTCAAGCATATGTAAGAGAACTCTAGTCCATTCAAACTTGCTCTCTCAGCCCTCCTCTGACTTCAGCTCTTCCTGATTTCTCCAGCTGGTTCTGCACTGACCGCCCTCATATTCCACAGCACTGCTCACCCACGTGTGTGCCACTTGTCTCAGGAGAGAAATACTTTGGCCTTTCATGGAGTTAGCACTTGTTCTTGTTCTTACTCATTGTTGATTCCAGACAAGTAAGTCTAAGAGACCTCACAGGGCTTAATAAGATCTGAAAATAGAAAAGGCTTCCAAACAGAATTATCTTCTAAACGTAACTCACGTATGAAGAACCCTCATGTTCACACTGTGTCCTGCTATCATTCAGGTCACTCTGTTATTCAACAGAACATCACTGCAAAAGTCATTTCATAGAATGTTGCACACACACACAGACACACACACACACACACACACACACACAATTTTCTTCATCCTAATGGCAACTATTAATGGTTGAATAATGAATTCCTGTTAAAATTCTTGACCATTTCTTGCACAAGATAACCTCTGGTAAAACCAAATTTTAGTAACATGAAGAGTCAGAAATTATTTGGGGAATCTGAGCTATGCAATGTATATAAAAATACAGATTTATATATCCATATATATGACATATAAGTATGTATGTATATATGTATATGTATGTGTGTATATATATCAACACGTAGCTATATAGATATCTAGATATATCTATTTCTATCTATCTATGTATGCATACACACATACAATTAAGTTGATTATATTAAATGATTATGCAACTCCCCATTACTTTATGGCTTACAGGCCCAATCTAAGTCATTATTTTTATTGGGGCCTATCACCTTCTTTAAAAATTTGGTATGAATTTTAATGTCTATAAAGTTGAAAAGATCCACACTCATGAGATACGCTATTTTCTGACAAATTAGGTGTAGCCTTATTATAATCAATGGAAAACATATTTGGCTGTTTTTCTGCTCCCAATCAAAGGCAGTCACACTGCTGCCTAAGCAACTGCATTTTTCCACGTGCTCATCTCATGATTGACTCCCATGGTGGTTTTTCGTATTTAATTTTAAAAATGCATTCTAAAGTTCAGAACCTAGCTTGACGGTACAGTAACATGTAGCTCTAAGTACTCCTGGGGAACAGAAAGTGCCTCCAAAGATGTAGAGCTGGAACCTACACACAGAAGTGTGAGGGATCCAGCAATTCCTAAGAAAGATGAGGACCCAGATCTGAGCCCCCAACTCTACCACTCCCTCCCCTCTGGCATCACCATCTGGATGAAACTGGGCTAAGGGAAACGTCAGGGAGAGTCTAAAATGGGCTGCATGTGGAGTGGTGTCACATTCCCATGGTAATAGAAAGTCAGGGAGGGGCCTTATAAGATACTATTTTTGATTCCCAGATCTTTTTAGCACTGATAGTCAAAGCCATCTCCATGTCTCCCTCCACCTCCCTTATAGCCCTCCCAAAGTGGAGGGGCCCTTTTAACTGTTGCCAAAGGTTAGCTATCTGATCAATTCTCCATAAGCTGTCTGAAAACTGAAACATCAACCCATTCTTCCTTCTAACTCACCCCTAGCCACCAACCTGACTTGGTAGATTTTTCTTTTTTGGGTGGGGCAGGGGCATTGACAACATACATGGCAGACCCTGTTCATTTATGCTAATGGTAACAAAGTTAATTGTTTAGTAAGCAATTGGTTAAACATATAGATTGGCTGCACAATTTTGCCCAAGCAGAACATCGTTACTGTCTTTCCATCATCCATATAGACCGGCGTTCTACAAACCTCTGTATTTATACATCAGTACAAAAGCCAAATTCCTTTGATATAGGAAGTAATGGGACTGCCAGGCCTTTCCCCCTTCCTACTTCTCACCACTTTTAGATGCTTTATATCATTATAAATGAGCCAGTTATCAATGTATTGCCTCTCAGATCCAATGTCACCCTTCATACCTACTCTGCCATAATCCACTGGACTCAAAGCATTTCTCCCTTAGAGTGAAAGTGATAGAAGCTTTGTCAGTAGAGGGTACTGCAGAGACATTCCAGGAAGAAGGAGGCTTCTCTTCCTGGCTCTAGTTGCCACATTTTGCTTTTCTTATCCCTACCACAGTCTGTCAATGGGGCATGGGTGCAGAGATACCTGGTGGTGTTCTGCCCCAGCCACACATTTGCAGTCCCTCAGTGACCAGTGCAGTCCTGCTTGGGTCTGGTGACCACCTTCCCATGGCCCTTCCCATGTGGACACCAAACGATACAGGCCTTCCACCCGCTATGGAGCCCTGACTCCCTCTGTGCCCCTGTCCACCTGTCCACTCGCCTGTATCTCAGAGGGCTGTCTCTTGTTGCTCAGCACCAATGGATGAGCTAGAACTGGAAACCCAGCAAAATTATCTGCTACCACTGGGCTGCAACCATCCCTTCTCCAGCAAGGTCTGAACCCCAGGCTTGGTGGGTGGGGGCCCTCCCAAGTTTGTCCCTCCTTAGATACTCTCCCTCAGCCCTATGGTATCTTTTAGGGTTATCTTTACATCCTGATGGTTGCTCTCCTATCATAACTCAGCAATTTTTTATATTAAACTTCCCTGTGTAAATGACTGTGTATTTTCTCTCTCCTGATGGGACCCCTGTGGATTCACCGTCTGCCCATACGGGAGTGACTTGGGTATCTAGCAGTCTCCCAGCTGACCATTAATTTGACCACCACTTGAAGCCTCACTCTTTGTTTCCTGGACTTTTTCTGTATTCAGCAAGGCTCCAGTGAATTAGTTAGAAAGAACTTGGTTGATCAATGAATGTTTCTGCTTAATGGTTTTGCGAACTTTCACCCAATGATACCCATTCTCTCTTTGTAAATAGTGATTTCTTCAGGTAAAATGGATAAAAACGTGGGTTAAAAAAACCCATCCTTTCTTAAAAGAGACTCTATTCAGCCCCTAAGAAACTCTTCATTATCTGGAAGGATATAGAGAGCCAACTTGTGCTGTTTTTCTGCTATTGTAATATTCATGAACTCCAGCAGAACACACAGGCTCCACCAGTCTAAAGTAACTAAGTGATCACTATATTCTTTTAATAAGAAGGGTTTTGAGAATGGCAGGTGAGTAATTCTGGCCTCCGTCAGCTGAAGGCACTGTAAGCATGGAGGCTGAAAGATGAAATGGTAACTCTGTTATCTTGCTTATTGTAATCCTTTCCATAACATTGGGGAGTGTGACAGCTGCCACTCCTGACTGATTATCATACATTTATGGATTGAAACACAGAAGGTATTGATCAGCTTTCCAGGTAGCAATCTCTTTCCAACGCAACTCCCAGTTCAAAGAATTCATTTTCTTTTGTACTGCTGAAAGCTACTTGATTTTCAGAGCATGTTCTTACCTAATGGCATAAAGATTGAAGCTGTATTTTTTTTTAAATAATGAGCCTTTAATTAGAAGAAATTTTTTAGTAAATTGGATGATAAGAGCTTTTTACAGAAAGGAAAATCAATTTGAAAATAACTTGTTTTCATCAGGTCTTGTTGTGAATGGTTTGTTGCTCTTGGGAACAGAGTGAGATCTATTCATGGGACAAGCACATGGGAATTACGAAGGACACATAAGTAACATACTGTTAGCAACAGTTCTCTTGGAAAACACATTCAATGAAAGTGTCTTCCTTATAAAATGGCCTCTTCTAAAAATCTGAAAATTAAAAAAAATTGTATTAGATTTAGACTTGGAATCTCACCCTAGAGACATATAGTTTTATAAGTAAGGGCATCAATGGCCACTTATGTAGAAAATAAAATCCCAGGAAGAAAACCTCCTCTGTACCTGTCTTGTCATTGTGAACAAAGCATTTTCATTAAAGACCATTTCTTTAGGGCTTTCAGGGTTTGGGAGCTTCAAGAGTTGCTTATTGAAATGCAGATATTCCTAGTAGGAATCACCCTTTAAGTCTTCAGGAATTAACTTTATCAAGGTTAAGTCTATCAAGTTGCTTTGTAATCATGACAGTTCCACAAACAGAGACACAAGTAACATTTCTTGGGCTAGAGGTACTGGGAGAGTGACTATCCATTGTTCTATAGCATCTTGTTGCTTATAGGTTCATCTCTTTCTTAGTACATGGAGAATTGCTTGAAGCATACATGGTCCATGTATCCTCCTAGACAGGCAAGCCAAGTCACCAGGATGCAATATACCTAGAAACATATTCTAAGCAACTTCTACATGTTCTAGGATTTTTTGGTCATATTTTACTTTTGGGTAATGTCATAAAAAATCCATATAATAAACAGCCTTATGAAGTGCATCATTGCATTTACTGTAAGATCATTGTCAAAGACTTTGTCCATTGCCTCATATACTGTCTTCTGGAAACAATGACATTTACTAGTTCTCCGGGACGACTGGTTCCTTTTACATTATGGATACTGTGAAATGTTCTATAGACTAGGCTTCCTTTTTTTATTTTTAGTTTTTGCTATTTGCTGTAAATATTACAATCAAATTTGTATCTCATTCATATTTTTATTCTCACTTCTGACTTCACTATATGTTCCCACTTTTGTTTTCCTTTCATCTTTTATGTATATTTTAAATTTATGCTACATTGGTGTATAGTGTGTATATATGTCATATGAGTCTGTGTGTGACATACGTGTGTGTTATAAAGTTGTGTGTTTACTAGAGCCTTATCTATAAAGCTGCCTTAAATCCCTTCCAGAACAAAGAAAATTCTAAACACATGACAGTTTTATTTAATTCTCACAACAACCCTATGAGATGGATTTAGTCATATGGTTATAGTTATACAGTTATATATCCATCTTACAGGGTTGTTGTGAGAGTGGATATAGTTATCTATCCAATTTTAAAAATGAATAAACCTCAAAACTGTAAAATTCCTCATCAAAGTAACAAAACTAGTAACAGAGCTAATCTGAAACCCAATTTCTTTTTAGTTTTTAATTCAAAACCCCATGCTTTTTCTCCCATCCTTAATACCATGTTAAAGAAGAAAAAGACACTAAAGGGGATAATGGAAAGTCATGATTTGAGCTAGGAAGAGTCATTTCCCATTTTTGCTGTACAAATGGAATGTTTAAATGAAATTAAACCATCTTAGCTCCTAGAGTAAAATATCCTAAAATCAGGCATCCGACAGAACCTAAATGGACAGAAAAGCAGAGTGGGACCACTTGGGCGGTCGGTCTGTATTTAGTAGAACCCAGACATTTAAGAAACCTCCCTCAGTACTTGTTAACGAGTTGGTTTTGTAATCCCTTCTTTATACCCTGCATTCAGAGGCTTGGGAATTGCATTTACGTATGTTGAATTTGATTAGTTGACATGACCTCTTTCTTTTCAACAAATAAAACATGAAACTTCAATCTCCAAACCTCTTTGTACATTTATTTTTAATGAGTAATGTTCCCTGATCAGACAATCAAATCACGAGGTCACCCAGAGAAGCCTGGAATCTGAACAAGATACCAAATAAAACCTATAAGGAAAAAAGTTGCCTGAATGAATTGTTCTCTGGCTGTCAAGATCAGTTAAAGGTACTTGTGATCTTAAGAAATGTACACATACATGAAGGATACCAAGCACATTTCTTATTTCATCATTATCTCTGTGAATATGGGAATTCATTGTAGGGAAGGAGAACAGCTCATAAAAATGTGTTTGGCCTTGTTTTGGCCCTTATTTTCAAGGCTCATAAATACCCGTATGCCAGGTACCTAATTAGTGTTACAATCTAAGTTAATAGGACAGGCTATTAACTTGTGACAAAATTGCTGGTGGGGGATAATGCATAGAATTAAAAATGCCACTCAATCTACTACAGAGGGCTGTGCTCTGATTGCCCTCTGGAAGAGGATGAAACCTGGACTCACATCCTGAGTTAGAAGCGGCCTTAGAGGACAGCTAGTCCAAATGCTCCCCTTGATTCTGTTTGAATACCTCCAGTGTTGGAGAACTCTCCACCTCCCAAAGCACCTATTTCATTTGCAAGACATTCTGATGGCCCAAGGACTTCTAATCACAACCCAGGTGGGTCTTCTACCTAGAATTAAACTCTTGCCAGCAGAGCACACTCTCCCATAATAAGAACCTCTACAGGATCTTTCCATTGCTTTTGCGAGGTCACTGGGAATAAGCGAAACACAGTCAAGTGTCTCCATCTGAAAGACAGCTAAAATCCCATTTGAACAGGTCATATGTTGTAGGACAAGAGACTAATTTGAAGAATGGCTGGCAATGTGCTGTAAGAGAGGAACAACCAAGTTGTCTTTGAGGTCCTGGAGTCTGCATGTGGGGGAAGGGAGTAGCTATTAACAAAGTTGAGTAAGCAGTTTGTTGTAGGGGTTGTAAAAGGAAATCACTGGCAGCATGCACCTTTTGTCCCAGCTACTCTGGGGGCTGGAGCAGGAGTATCACCTGAGCCTTGGGAGGTTGAGGCTGCAGTGAGCTGTGATCACACCACTGCACTCCAGCCTGGGTGACAGAGTGAGACCTTTCCTCAAAAAAAAAAAAAAAAAAAAAAGTTGGGGGCTAATCACTAACTAGCACCAACCACACTCCTTGCAGATGGGAACTCTTCTTAAACATCTCCAACAACTATGAACCTGCCACCCAACGAAGAAACTAAGATATTGACATTAACTTGATACGTTTTACCCATATGCTTGTCGTTCTTCCCATCTTTCAGCCTTCTCCCACCCAAAATAACCACTATATTGTTTATTATTCTTTTGTTTTTACATATCTCTAGTTTTATCACATATATTCATTCCCAAAATATATTGTTTAGCTTTACTTTTTAATTTTGTAAAAAGGATACACTTGGCCAGATGCAGTGGCTCATGCCTGTAATCCCAGCACTTTGGGAGGCCGAGGTGGGTGGATCACCTGAGGTTGAGAGTCCAAGACCAGCTTGACCAACATGGAGAAACCCCATCTCTACTAAAAATACAAAATTAGCCAGGTATGGTGGCGCATGCCTGTACTTCCAGCTACTTGGAAGGCTGAGGCAGAAGAATCGCTTGAACCCAGGAGGCATAGGTTACAGTGAGCTGAGATCACACCATTGCACGCCAGCCTGGGCAACAAGAGTAAAACTCTGTCTCAAAAAAAAAAAAAAAAAGGGTACGCTCTGTAATTAATATTCTACCTATTTTTTCGCTTAATAATAAATTGTTCAGGCTCTTTCATATTGTTGCATGTAGTTCATTCACTTTTATTACTATATAGTATTCCACTGTGTACATATACCTCACTTCGTTCATTCTCCTGTCAATGGGCATTTGGCTTGTTTCGAGGATTTTGCTAGTACAAATAGAGCATCTATGTATATTCTTGTACATGTACAAAAGTATATTTATAAGAAGAATTACTTGGATTATATAGTATGTGAATACTCAATTGTCCAACTTAATGCCAAACTGCTTTCAAAGGTGGTTATAATAATTTACACTCTTACCAACAATGTATATATAAGAAATTTTGCTAGGGCCAGGCGTGGCTCATGCCTGTAATCCCAACACACTGGGAGGCCAAGGCAGGTGGATTACCTGAACCCAGGAGTTTGGGACCAGCCTGGACAACATGGTGAAACTGCATCTCTACAAAAGAATACAACAATTAGCTGGGCGTGGTGGTGCATGCCTGTAGTCCCAGCTATTCAGGAAGCTGAGGTGGGAGGATTGCATAAGCCCAGCATTTACATTTATTATATATATATATGAATCAATATGATATAAAGATAGATACGTGTATCTTTTTCTCTGATTATTAAAGAAATGTATGTCCCCGGTGGAAACATTGAAAAATACAGAAATTATAACACACACACAGAGAAATTCCATCACACTAAAATAATAATCATTAAGCATTTTGATGTGTATTTTTTCAGTTTTCTATGTAAGTAAATATACTTATTCTCTTTTTATTTTTCAAAACTGGAGTAATACTCTTTTGTAACATGCCATTTTCATTTAACATTATGTCTGAAACGTTTCCTTGTATTATTAGATACTCTGGAACAATGATTTTAATGGCTATACTGCATTCTATCATATGGAAGAACTATATTTATTTCACTAATTCCTTATTGTTGGGTTTTGATTCCACTTCTATTATTTTAGATAATTCTATAATAAGTATTCTTTAGATACATTCATATTTATTTCCTTGGAGTAAATTCCTAAGAGTGAAATTGGATGGTCAAATTTTTAAGACTTTGGATAAATATTTCTAAATACTCCACTGATTTACTCCGCTCTATGTCCAGCAGTGTTTGAAAATGCCTGTTTTCTGCACTCTGGATATCACTAGATATTACTATAAAAAGTAAAATATTTTCCAATTTGATTAGAGATAAGGGGCTATTTCTCTTTGTGACATTTATATCTCATTTATTTTCTTTACTTGCTAGTAAAGTTAATTTGTTTAATAAAAAATATTTATTAGCCATTGGTATTTCATATTTTCATGTTCTGCTCTTTTTTTGGTCTTTCAAATGGTCAATTTGATTCTTTCTTCTTGATTTGTACATTCTCTTTATGCATTAAGGATAGATTATTTGTCGTTTATCTACGTTGCAGTTTATCCCATTTTTGAAGACGTAATTGCCTAATCCTCTTCATCCAATGACTGATGAAACTGAAGGCAGTATAATACAGTGATGTAAAATTTGGCATAAAACAGCAAGAAAAGGTGCTTCCCAGAGCCTTGCAAGGTCCCCATGCAGGTAATATGGCCAAGTAAAAGAGGGAAGCACTTTCTCAAGCATATGTTGAATGACAAAGCACAGCAAAGCCCACACTCCAGGGATGCCGCAAAGTGTGAGTAGCCTGTTTCCCGCCCTGATTTGATAGGCCCTGTAATGAGTCTAGCCATGATTGTCAATGTGACAAAGGCCTCAGGGCTTTCCTGTCTCCTAAAAATCAGCTTCATATCAATTAGTATGTTTAGCGTGTCACCAGGGACAAGAGGGAGAAACAGTACTTCCTCCTGAGATAAACACTTCCATTTAGAGCTCATTAATAAAACCAGCTTGGGAAGTTGTAATCATAACTTAAGCAACAAAGACACACTTCCAGGTCAATGCTTTTGGGAGCAGGTTCATTTTTGTTGCTTGCTAAGGACCATATTAGGGCTTTAAGACACAGTCAGAATCTTTGCCTCAGCAAGACTTTAGAGCTCGTTTCAACTCCCAGCATGCTCTTAGGTCCAGTATTAACTTTTCATGTTTAATGTTTATTTTCAATAAGAGAAATAAATACATCATACTTTGTAATTGGGCGCTCTGGGAATGAATGACGAATAGTAACTGGAATGAGGAGGGGGATCCCCTGGGGACTGGACATGAATAGTTGTCTTAAAATCCAGAAAAGTAAAATAACTTAGGCATGTTACTGTTGTGTTTTGATTCTTACACATAAATATTTTTATGTTCTTGACCTCTGCTGCTCAATTTTGGTACTTTGAATGAGGATTTCAACGACATGAACTTCAACCTAGCACCTCCTCCCTCTCTCTACCACCCAACTTCAAATCAAGAACTGAGAGGCCAATCAATTACACAAGGATGATAAATTCTAATGCCAGTGAAGTGATGACACTTTAAAACTAGTTGCTCAGTTTAAGCTAAGAGGAAAAACTGTCTGGTGGAGTCTCTATTTTCATTTCCTTAGCCTTTTATACTAGTCAGGATAATTAGTGCCGGTTGCTATAACAAACAATCCCCAAAGCTCCATGGTTTAATAAGACACAGGTTTACATTCCTTTTACCTCACAGTCCAGTGCACAGCAGGCAGTTCTTTGCAGAGGCTCTCCTCCAAATAATGACTTGGGGATCCAAGCTCCTTTCATCTTGGGGTGCTGCCATCCAAAATTTGGCAGGTAGCTCTAATGGAAGGTAGCTGTGAAAGAGGGAGAGAGAACACAGAGCTGGTGGAAAATGACACAGGGGTTTTATAGCCATTGTCTAAAGCCTGGTAGCATAAGGCCAGGAATGGTGGCTCACACCTGGAATCCCAACACTTTGGGAGGTCGAGGCAGGAGGATCACTTGAGCCCAGGAATTCCAGACCTGCATGGGGACCTTGCAAGGCTCTGGGAAGCACCTTTTCTTTCTGTTTTATGCATCTTGCCTGGCAAGATGGCAAGATCCCGTCTCTACAAAACAATAATAAAAAGAATTAGCCAGATGTGGTGGCACACACCTCCCAGCTACTGAGGAGGCTGAAGTGGGAGGATCACTTGAGCCCAGCAGGCCAAGGCTGCAGTGAGCCATGATTGCACCATTGCACTCCAGCCTGGGCAACACAGTGAGACCCCATCTCAAAAAAAAAAAGACAGAAAAAATAAAATACAATATAATAAAATCTGGTAGCATGGCCCCAAACTAACTGTAAAGGAAGCTGAGGGATGGGCACAGTGTCTCACACCTGTAATCCCAGCACTCTGGGAGGCCAAGGCGGGTGGATCACTTGAGGTCAGGAGTTCGAGACCAGCCTGGCCAACATGGTGAAACCCCATCTTTACTAAAAATACAAAAATTAGCATGGCGGCAAGTGCCTGTAATTCCAGCTACTCAGGAGGGTGAGGCACAAGAATCGCTTGAACCTGAAAGGTGGAGGTTGCATTGAGCTGAGATCATGCCACTGCACTCCAGCCTGTGTGACAGAGTGAGACTGTCTCAAAAGAAGAAGAAGGAGAAGGAGAAGGAGAAGGAGAAGGAGGAGAAGGAGAAGAACAAGAAGAAGAAGAAGAGGAAGAAGAAGAAGAAGAAGAAGAAGAAGAAGAAGAAGAAGAAGAAGAAGAAGAAGAAGAGGAAGAAGGAGAAGAAGGAGAAGAAGAGGAGGAAGAGGAGGAAGAAGAGGAATAAGAAGAAGGAGAAGCAGAAGGGGAAGGGGAAAGGGAAGAGGAAGAGGAAGAAGAAGAACAAGAACAAGAAGAAGAAGAGGAGAAGAAGAAGAAAAGAAGAAGAAGAAGCTGAGAAGCATATATTCCTTTGTGCCTAGGAGAAAGAAAAGGAAATGAGATTTAGTGACCACACAGCATCGTCTGTACCACATCTTGATTGGTTTTACCCATATAATGATAGAACAGCTAAAAGGCCTTTTTAGCCCCTCTCTTTCTGTACTTCTCAGTCTCACCAGGATACATGAAATCTCCACATCACCATACCTTTCTTTAAGACTTTGCAGAATGGATTAAAAGAGTCTTATGACTCTCTACAGACTCACCTTTTGAGGAATGCCTATATCCTGAATGCTTTTTTCTGTCTCAGTTTTTCTCAGCGTCTTAGGAAGGCAGAGTCAGCTGCTTCCCACTCTAACCACATCAGATTATAGCAGGAGGTGTGCATAAGGGAGAAGAAACCTACATAGGCTGGACCTGAAGCAGTCCAGACACCTCCGAGATGGCTGGTGCAAACAAGGCAAAAAGAGATGACTCACACCAATTTGCTCCAAACAGCTTCATCAAATGCTCTCTTTCATGAATTGAAAATGCGAAGGGAACAAAGTGAGATCAGGCCTTCAGCTTTAGGTTGTTATCCTGAGATGCCCCAGCAAATTTCCCTATTGCCACATAGAAAGAAAACTGTCACCTTTGGTAACAGCATGCTGTTACCAAATGTGTACCAAATGAGGTAAAATAAACCTACCCATTTTTATAAGTTGTCTCAGCCAATCATTTAGTTCATAAGAGATCTTTGGGGAAATTCCAAATGAGGCCTGAGAATTCTCTGGCACACCAGAGAAGGACAAATGAAACCACTGCTCTTAAGCAAGGTAGGTCAAGGAAGGATGTGAGTAGTCAGGGGCCCATAGCAATTCTGAAATCTTATCAGGCTCCCCCTACCTAAGGGATAGGAAATGTTCCTTAATTAAGCCTCATTTCTGCTTCCTGGGAATAAGTCCCAAGTCCATTGTTCTCCATGACTCTTGACTGTACTCTACGGATGTCCCTCTGTTTTCAATATCTTTCTTGGCTACGTAAAAATAGCACTGTAGAATATGCCCTCTTAGAAGGGTGATCAACTGTCCCAACTTGTCCAGGACTGAGAGTTTCCTGGGTTGCAGGGCTTTCTGTGCTAAAACCAGGAAAATCCCAGGCAAACCTTGTCACCCTACTACCTTTTTGGCAGCTGGGGAGCTTTCTGAGCCTGCTTCCTACGGGTAGAAAGTTGGAGAATCAAGTTTGTCTTTTTTTGTTTTTGTTTTTGTTTTTCTTTTTAGCTTGTTAATAGTCACATCTCTTTTAAGCCAGCCTAGGGTGCTTTGCGCAAGATACCTCACTCAAAAACTTTGTTGACTTTTTGTATTTCATTCTCAACAACTCTATGTGACAAGTTATACCCACAATTTGTTTTGAGACATGCAATATACTTATTAATAGCTACTGCAATATATCAGACTTCCAATATGTCAGGTCCATTATGTCCCACTGGGGAAAAAAATCTATAGCTACCTCTTTAATCCTTGCAATGATCTTTTAAAAGCTTGATTCAGTCTTTCCCCAGAGGCTGAGCCTTAGTAAGCTTTTAAACTCAAAGAACTTTTCAATTTTCTCTTTTACTGGTTGGAGATGAGAAACAGTTTGATTTTTCATCCTGGAAAGTTCCAAAATCTTTGGCCTCTCTCTATTTCCTCTCTATTCTACTTTGAAACCAAACAGTTCTTTTCTGAACCTATTCCTTTCTTTTAGTACAGTAACAACCAGCTCACACTGTCAACATTCTGCCTCAAAACTTCCTACTCCTCTCATCATTTAATGAGCTATGTTATTTGCCTTCCCAATTTTGTCAGGTGACAATTTTACCAAGTGTTTTGCTACCACATAACATGGGTCACCATTTTTCCAACCTCTGTCATTGTTTTGCTACTTGCTTTCTGATCCCAAAGCCATAGCCACATATTACAGGCAAAACCCTGCTTCTGGTACCAATGCATGTATTAGAAAGGTTTTTACTGTGACAGTTCTGTATATCAAATAATTCTAAGATCTCAGTGGATAAAATAATAAACATTCAATTTTATACTCACATATCTGTAAGTAACCTGCAGTTCAGGTGATATTAGCTGGATTTAACTGAGCTAGGCTGGATTATAGAATTAACAGCAATTCTCCATCATTTCTGGGTTCATCTTTGAGCTGAACCTCCTAAACTAGCTAAAAGGTCACCATTCCCGATGACCTTGAAGGTGATGGGTCATCGAGATGCAGACACTGATTAACAATTCTACCCAGCTGGACTGAGCCAAACTCATTAAAATGTTGCAAACAATTTCATCTCTCACACTGGGAAAAAATAGTCATTCATTTCACAATATCATGCTTTGTTTTTATTATTGCAAAAATTATTATTCTTTTGCAAATTTATATTAGGTGTCCGTTAAGTCATTTGTGGTATAGTATTCTTTGAGATGAATAATACATTAAGCCATTGAGACTGGTAATGAAGAAAACCAATGAGACTGTTTCCACTACACATTTATCGAGTGCCAATTTTGTATACAAGAGCTGTGACGAGTAGAAAAACTGTCACTGTTTTCAACAATAATGATACTAACATATTATAATAATAATAATAATAACATAATACTGATAATACTTGTAACATAATACTTGTATCAGGCCAGGCAGCATGTTACTGCATTACATGCAGTAATACAACATGCAAAACAATCCTCTGAGACAGGTGATCTGTTATCCCTAATTTGTAGAAGAAATAATTGCACAGAAAGATGAAATACTTTGCCAAGGTTTTACACATATAGCAAGTGGCAGAGCAAAGATTCGAACCAAGGCAGTTTGCCATCAAAGCCCAGACTACACAAAACGAGCTTCACGCTGCTTGTAACCCAGTGAAGCAGACTGCGACGGTAATGCAAAACAGAAGACATTGGACCAAAGTGGATCAAGGAGAAAGGGGCTTTTGCATAAGGCTTGGGATGACTCATTATCAGAACTAGTTATCGACTTAGTGACCCCATGAGGTACAAGGACACAGGAGAGGTAAGTTTTAAGGGGAAGTATATACCTATTACTGTGTAAAGCCTAGGATAACTGGGAAAGGGCGGGCTTAAGAGAAATAAGGGAAACGTTCTAGAGTGGGCTGATGGCCGTGGAGTGACAGGAGCGCTCTGGGAAACAATAAGGAAAGTATAGAAAGGTGGGAGATGATTTTTTATCTATTTATTTTTGGAGACAGAGTCTCACTCTGTCACCCAGGCTGAAATGTAGTCGTGCATTCCATCTCAGCTCACTGCAACCTCTGCCACCTGGGTTCAAGTGATTCTCGTGCCTCAGCACCCCAAGAAGCTGGGATTACAGGCATATGCCACCATGCTCGGCTAATTTTTGTATTTTTAGTAGAGACAGGGTTTCGCCATGTTGCCCAGGCTGGTCTCCAACTCTTGATCTCAAGTGATCTGCCCACCTTGGCCTCCCAAAGTGCTGGGATTACAGGTATGAGCCACTGTGCCCTGCCTGATATTTTATAACAATACACCATTATTTAATGAAACTTGGCTCAGCCTGGCCTTGCCATAAGATTTAACTTTTCCCACTTTTTTTTTTTAAAAAACTTCATAACTAGACATTCTCAGTAAGATCTAACTCTATCAACCCAAAATTAGCCTTAGTAATAAAGGTAAATGTTCCCTGCGGATGTTACCGACACAGGCAAATGCATATCATGTGGTTTCTCTCCTCTGGATTTAAATGCGAGTGAAAAGCTATTATATTAACCTGCTGAGGTAATGACAATGACTACTTCAGTCTCTCCTACTCTCCTGAAGGGCTTTGGAATGATTTCTTTCCTTGCACTATTGTTACATGAGAAGATGCATTTGAAAAGTACCATAGAAATGTATACATCATCACGTACATGTTGGTTGTGACTGTGTAGATTTCAAGCAGAGGATAGCTTTAATTTCAAACATTACTCTGGCTGAAGATGAAGTTGTATTGAAATATCTCAAAAAATGTTAGCCAGGCCAGATTCTGAATACCAAAGGTCTAAGGATCAGACAGGTGATAGGGTATACCCAAGGGCAAGCTCATGGAGACCCAGGGTTAGGGTCTCCTTTGAAACCACTACATCATTCAGTCATTCAACAAATATTTATTGAGTGCCTACTGTGTGCCAGGCACTGTTCTACATGATGGGTATTTAGGGTTGAATGTGATCGACAAGACTCCCATCCAAAAGCAAGGACTCTCGAGATAAACTACTTCAATTTAAATCTTGGTGTTGCCATTTATGAGCTAGGTGACCTTGAAGAAGTTTCTTTTCCTCCATTTCCTCATCTGAAAAATAAAAGGGGTGTTACGAAGATTAAATGAGTTAATATAGCTAATACATTTAGAAAAATGCCAGGCTCATAGTGATGCTATGTAAATGCTTGTTAAATAAATGGAGTGTATTTAGTAAATCAAGATAGACATTTAATCAAAATACAAAGTAATGACAATTTGGTAAAACAGGGTAATGTGGAAAAGGGTGACAGAGTCCCCTTCAGTTTGGCCGCTCAGGGTGGGCGGTCTTCCAGCGGAGACCTGGATGACAAGAAGGATCCGGATGGTGGAAGGACTAGGCCCAGAGAGCTTCAGGTCATGAGAGACTAGAACAGGAGTGAGCTTAGCATGTTCTATTAGGTTGGTGAAAAAGAAATCGCAGGTTTTGCCATTACTTTTAATGGCAAAATTCACAATTACTTTTGTACCAACCTAACAGTAATAGGCAGAAAGCTAAGCCTAGCTGTGACATATGATAGAGCAAGTGAGAGATGGTGGGAGATGTGGGGAGAAGATCAGAGACAGGCAGAGACCAGGTCATGTGTGGCTTAGTGTATTGGTGGCTGGGATGAAGAGTTTTGAGTTCATTCAAAGGGCATTTCAAGGGTTCTGAGCAGGGAAGGAACAGGGTTTGATGTGTGTTTTAAGAAAGTCACTTGGCTGCTATGTACAGAATAGACATGGGGATGTAAGAGTGGGAGCCAGAGGCCAGACAGGCAGCTATTACTGTTGCTCAGGTGAGAAGCGATGCTAGCTTGGATGGGGATGTATATGATAGACAGGGAGCAAATAGAACATATGTGGGATGTGGTTTGAAAGTAGAATGGGCAAGACGGTACCATATAGGATATGAGAGTGATGAAAACAAAGGAAAGAGTGGGTTGAAGAACTGGGTAGAGGGTTGTACCAGATGGAAATATGAGAGAGATAGACGGCAAGGTGGGGAGACACTGGGCATCCAGGAATATTGAGCAAATGGCTAGAAAACCTAAGCATCAGTCCCAGCTGTGCCTCTTCCTGGCATTGTAACTTTGAGCAACAATCCCACTCTCATTCTAGTATCCATCATCAATGAAATGAGAATGGTAGTATCTTCCCCCATCACACCTTTTTATTATTATTTTGAGACAGAGTCTCGTCTATCACCTAGGCTGGAGTGCAGTGTCGCGATCTTGGCTCACTGCAACCTCCGCATACCAGGTTCAAGTGATTCTTCTGCCTCAGCCTCCTGAGTAGCTGGGATTACAGGTGTGTGCCACCATGCCCGGCTAATTTTATCTTGTGTTTTTAGTAGAGACAGGATTTCACCATGTCGGTCAGGCTGGTCTCGAACTCCTGACCTTGTGATCTGCCCACCTCAGCCTCCCAAAGTGCTGGGATTACAGGCTTGAGCCACTGCACCTGGCCTACTTCTTAGAGAGTTCTTAAGAATCACATTAGAGGCCAGGAAGTTCTAGGCTGCAATGCATTATGATTGCACCTGTGAACAGCCACTGCACTCCAGCTTGGACAACACAGCAAGACCCCATCTCTTAAAAAAAACCTCAAGCCATCCTCTAGCCTCAGCCACACAAGTAGCTGGGACTACAGGCACACCTGGCACTTGTCTCCTGAATATTAAGCTTTAATTTTTTGTTTCTGTCACTCTTGAAGATAGTAGACATTGACTGAGGCAAAAAATTAAAAGCTTTATATTCAAAATTTGCAAATTGAAGCTGGGTGTGGTGGTGCACACCTGTAGTCCCAGCTACTTGGGAGGCTGAGGCTGGAGGATTGCTTGAGGTCAAGTATTGGAGGCTGCAGTGTACCATGATGGTGCCTATAGGAAGAGCTACTACACACCAACCTGGACAACATATCAAGACCCCATCTCTTAGAAAAATGCAAAACTAAATGCAAAAGAAATGGGTTGGGCATAGTGATTCATGCCTATAATCTCTGTACTTTGGGAGGCTGAGGTGGGAGGATTGCTTGAGCACAGGAGTTCAAGACCAGTCTAGGCAACATAGTGAGACCCTGTCCATAAAAAAAAATAAATAAATAAATAAATAAATAAATAAAAATAATTAGTTGGATATGGTGGCACGTGTCTGTAGTCCCAGCCACTCTGGAGGCCTAGGTGGGAGGATCACTTAAGCCCAGGAGGTCAAGGCTGCAGTGGGCCATGATCATGTCACTGCACTCCAACCTGGGCGACATCCAGACCCTGTCTCAAAGAAAAAAAAAAAAAGAAAAATGTTCAAACAAGGGATTGTGAAGGTTTGTAGCATTTATACTTCTATAAGTATCAAAGCTTACAATTACCCTAAACTTTTGGAATACCTTGTATCTCCATAAAATGCCTTCCTCTTTTTAAAAGTAGTTACCTGCAGAGCTGTGCTCTATATGCTTTGATCACCAAAGTTTCTTTAAAGGAAGATTTTGAAGATCAGTGTTAATTAACATGTAATAAAAGGAATTGGACCCTAATGATAGAAGGTGATATGAACAGCTGTTTTATCATACTACATGCTACCAAGCTGTAGGTGTCCCATTAAGTCTTGCTATTTAAGAAATAACTTACATAACCCTTAGGAACTCTTACTTCAGGCTTTAAAAGGCAAGGAGCAAATAATATTAGGAGACCAATAATGTCACCTAAATTTGAAATACTAAAAAGAGATTAGTGTTCTCAACTATGTGAAATCTATTTGTCCTACTTTCTCAAATCTAATCCTAGGAATCTTGCTTATAAACAAAGCATTTCTGGGCCAGGAATACTTCCTCTACTACAGCAATGCTTCACATCATATTATGCTGCAGTTTCCATCATTTTTAAAGGACAGAGACATAAATGATAAATAACGGTATAAAAATATTACAATCTACCACCTCAAAAAACAAAATTGTTTATGGAATTCGGAGCTTGGAGATTCAAGTATTGATTGCAGTTTTATTTTGAAAAGAATGCTACAATTTATGTGGTTTTTATTTCTCATGTTTATATTAAAAGTTAATAAACTCTATTTTCATTAAAAAAGAATCACATTAGATTATAAAAGTAAAAGGATTAGAAACACATAAGCCATTGTATAAATGTAGTGACATTATTATAATTTTCAGCATGTGTGAGGCCCAATATCTCAGTGATTGAATACCGGTGCTTGATAGAATTTGACAAAAATATTAAACAATATATTGTAAAAGACCAGACAAATCAGGATGTTTCCCTTTAATACACTAGCAGAAGAAAGCTGAATGCACAGCCGAGTGCTGTGGGCATTGTCACTTCTGCCTTCTCGTTACAACCCAGTGGCACTGGCAACATTCTTATCGTGAAGCCAATGGCTGTATTCTTGATTTAATGCACTCTGTCACTGTTTAAAGGAATTTTGTGCTAGCTTTGTTAAGTGGGAGAAAATTCACAACGTCAAGATGTCACTTCCAAAGTTAGTGACCTAGTCAGAAAGAACTGTTAAGCAGGGGGAGGAAAATCAATCCTTTCTAGCTTTCATGGAGTAATAGACTCTAACAGATAATGGGCTAAGGGCTTCCTTACAGTTTAGTGAATTCGCAGATAAACCAAACCCCTGAATTTCATTATGTGCAACAATGCTGTCTTTGTCTAAAGCTGTTTTGGTCATTGGAGCATTAGCTATTATATTAAAATAATGGAAATGATCTAAAAGTACAAGAGGAGCTTGGTTAAATTATGGTATATACCTACAATGAACCGGTTAAACAGGTTGCATATAATATGGTGATGTTTATAACATAATGTTAAGTGAAAAACTCAGGTTATAGGCTTGGTATAGTATGACACACATCCTCATTTATGTTTTTAAAATATGTATCTACATGTTTATTTTGTGTGTGTGTGTATATATATCTGCTTCTTTTACAATTTTGAAACAATTTAAAATGTTTAGAAAAATTACCAGTATAGTACAAAGACCTTTCATCCTGAGCTATTTTTGAGTAAGTTGCTGATAAGAGGAGTTTCAGATGAGCCACCAGGAGCTGTCTCAGTTCCTGGTGGCAGGGGGACTTAGGGGCTGGTGTTTGTTTGACTCCTGTTTCTCAAAACACTTAAGGAAGAACATTTTAAGTATTATCCATATGGTAATTTTCTAACACATTTCCAAAGAAAGAGTAGCTTATACATAAACGCTAACATGACGTGTTATCTCAGGAGACTCTGAGTTACCCTTGGGAAAAAAGGATGATTACATTCTATTTCTATAACATTCTATTTTATACTTGTCTAACACCTATCGACATGACATTAGCAACAATAAATTGCCCAGGACACTTATTTAAATGTGACCTGAATTATTAAAATCTCCATTGCCAAATATCAGATTTTTAACTTAGTTTTTAAAGATAATGGTTCTTTCTAGATTTACACAAATTTTTACACCATTTTCCCAGCTTCTGTTTTTTCATTTTATTTTATCCCCCTCGTTGTCCTAGAAACAGTACCAGAATTATTCATTTTCAGAAAACATTTTTGTATTGCTTACATGGCAAGTTCCTCCCATTATTTTGGAAAATAAATGAATTGTATGTTCTTTGAAAATAAAATAAAGCACAGGGAGAAAAACATTACAGGAAAATTATAAAATCCTAAGTTCAAAAAGAAAACTAGAGATTCAAGACAGCCAGCTAAATTCTGTGCCAACCCTGGGTTTCTGACATTCTCCTCTGATGGTGTGATTTGCAGAGCTGGTTTACTTTTGGTGCCCAACACTTAGACAGCTATGGTGGTCAAAAAAGTCCACCCTTGGGTAGATGTTCAAATGTCGCCTAGGAGGCCCACAGTGTACCTAGAGACAGGTGGTGGTTGGATAGGCTGGGAGGACTTCGGAGAGGTGAAGTGCTGTCTTTCTTAAATACACAGATAAATGTTGAAAGAGACATCCTTCAGTGTAGAAAAGAGGAGGAAAAGATAGTTCTGAGCTTCTGCTGTGTTCTGCAACTCCCACTCTCAAAAAAGAAGCAGCCCAACCCTATCTTCATGCATCAAAGGAAGGGGAGAGAGTTAAATTATCAGTTGGATAACCATCTCTTGACACCATTAAACCTCAAATGTCTCCAGGGTTGAAGTCAATTACCAGGTCTTAGTTTTTCTCAATCTTTTCTTCAGGTTTCAGTGCAATTTCAAGGACTTCCTTTTGCTGCAAAAGTACCACTTGTCTCATCTGCAAACAGTCCTTGACTTCATACAGCTCATATTTCAGAAGGTCATGTTTTGGTTTTCAATACATCCAAGCCCTACTTTTTAAAAAAATGCAAAATCAAATGCCAATTTGGCTGCTTTAGGATCACCAAAACAAGTCTGCACTTGTGAACTGTTCCAGCCATTCACGCGTTATCTGTAGATATTGACTTGTCGTGAAAACAAGAATACCTGAGTGGTCTTCCCGGCTTTGCCCATAACTAGCTGTGTGGCTTTAGGGAAGTCACTTGACTCTGTGGCCTATGTCACCAGAAAAACTCTAACGTCCTTTCTGCCCAATGGACGTTAACAATGCCTTTAACAAAGGCATGACCATAAATTGGTTTTTAAGAAATCAAAGAGGTCATTTATGTACCATGACCATAATTTATCTATGACAAGACATTTTTATAATGTCTGAAACAACAGCGACAGTAGCTGCTATTTTACCATGTTGAAAACAGTTACTCAGTTGTTTTGCTTTTGAATGAAAAGATCCTTCCTTTCCCCACCCTAGACCCCCTCAGTGAGATCCTATGTTTCTTTAGGACAGGAAGTTTTTTTTTTCAACTCAGAGTGCTCTGTATCCGGGGGGAAAATCCAGTGGCAACATCAGCAAGAGCTCCTGGGGCTCTCTGCAAGAAATTTTTCAGGATATCAGATTTCTGAGATTGAAGAGTATGAAATGCATCTTGGAAACAAGGTAATAAATGATGCATTTGGACAGGAATCTCTAGAGAAAAAAATAAGGGAAAATTGCTGGCTTGATTTTGCAGTAAAATTACCAGGCAGCCTGAAGAATAAAAGGGCATACATTCCCAGAAAAAATATCATGATTACAATAAAGTTGACCAAGTTACATGTGGGTGAATAGGGGCCAGCGTTCTGAGTCATCCAGGCAAGAAAGCCAGAAAGGCAGAAGGAGCTGGAATGAGAAATGTTAGGGTAGAGAAGGATGAAGGGAAAGGGTGATCAACTGCAATAAACCACCTGCCCCATGCTCCTTCATAAGTCCAGGCACTGCACTCTGGGCCCACTGAAGAGATCCCCATTGTGACGGTGAATTGTATGTGTCAATTTGACTGGGCCACGGGATGCCCAGACATTTTGCCAAACATTATTCTGGGTGTTTCTGTGATGAGATTAACATTTGGATCAGTAGCCTGAGTACAGCAGATTCATGTGAATGGGCCTCATGCAATCGGCTGAAGACCTGAATGGAACAGAAAGATTGAGACAGCAGGAACTCATCCTGTCTGACTGCCTGTGAGCTGGGACATTGGATTTTTTCTTGCCTTTGGACTCAAACTGAAACATTGGCTCTTCCCGGATCTCAAGCCTGCTGGCTTTCAGGCTGGAGCTCACACTGTCAGCTCTTCTGATTCTCAGGCCTTTAGACCCAGACTGGAATTGCACCATCCGGTCTTCTGGGTCTGCGGCTTGCCAACTGCAGACTTCGGGACTTCTCAATCTCCATAATCATGTGAGATGTGAGCTGATTTCTTATAACAAATATCTTTTTATATGTGTATGTGATGATGTAAAATATATATATATATTTGATCTTTTTCCCAGTTTCCTTATGTACAGCTCCTAAAATCCTTTGAGTCTCTGGAGTCATAAGAGTATTTTGTGTGTGCTAATGAGATAACTAGTCAGCTGGGGACCTCTAGATAGCATCAGGATGGGGGCTGGTTGCCACGGGAACCAGCCAAGTGTTAGAGGATTGGAACTTTCAGTCCCTCGCTCCACCTCTGGGGAGGGGAGAGGGGCTGAAGGTCGAGTTGATCACCAATGGCCAATGATATAATCAATCATGCTATATAACAAAGTTTCTATAAAAACCCAGAAGTACTGAGTTCAGGGGGCTTCCAGGTTGGTAAACAAGAACTCATCCGCATACCAGGAGGATGGCTCCCAACTACTACACGGGGACAGAAGCTCGTGCACTCAAGACCCTTCCAGACCACGTTCTCTGTATCTCTTCATCCGGCTGCTCCCTTGTATCCTTTAAAATCACCTTTGTAATACACGGGGAACTGTTAGAGTGTTTCCCTGAGTTCTGTGAACCACCCTAGCACATTAATTACATCTGAGGAAAGGGTCATGGGCACCCCAATGTATAGCCTGTTGGCCAGAAGTTCTGGAAGTCCGGGACTCACAAATGGAGTCTGAAGGGCAGAGCAGTCTTGTGGGACTGAGCTCTCACCCTGTGGGATCTCCCCGCAGGTAGATAGGGAGTATCAGCATTGAATTGAATTGAATTAGAGCAAACCCAGCTGATGTCTGCCGCAGAATTGCTCACTTGTTGGGTGTGGCGGGGAGTTGGGGGTGGGGGGAACCCACACACATTTGGTTACAGGAGCATTCTGTGTTGTGAGAGTATAATGGGAAAAACAGTTGGTTTTTTCAACTCTTTCTCTATGTATCTATACCTGTATGATCTATCTATAGTTCTCTATATAGACTTATATACAGATATCTCTTATTGGTTCTGTTTCTCTGGAGAACCCTGACTAATACACTCGTGTTCAAGTATCTTCAGATACAAGAACAGCTATCCATTCCTTAATGCAGAAAAAACATTTACTGTCGTGCTGTAAAGAAAGTAACCTACTGTGTGGCCCATGTCATGCAGACACACACATTTTGTTCACGTTCAAAAGCTCATCTTGACCAGGCTCACACCTGTAATCCCAGCACTTTGGGAGGCCAAGGGGGGGGCAGATCACTTGAGGTCAGGAGTTCGAGACCAGCCTGGCCAATATGGTGAAACCCCGTCTCTACTAAAAATATGAAAATTAGCCAGGCGTGGCGGCAGGCACCTGTAGTCCCAGCTACTCAGGAGGCTGAGGCAGGAGAATTGCTCGAACCCAGGAAGTGGAGGTTGCAGTGAGCCAAGATGGCACAGTTGCACTCCAGCCTGAGTGTTGCAGTGAGACTCCATCTCAAAAAAAACAAAACAAAAACAAAAACAAAAGCTCATCTGGGCACCTAACTAGAAAGGGAGAAGTAGGACTCAGTGAATCCACGGACATTGTCATTAGTCGTGGAGAGCAGGTGTGCTTTGGTGGGAGGGGTATGGGGTGGAGGTGGAGGGATAGGAACACAGGACTGATGCAGGGACTACTTGCTCCTTTTTTCTGCCAGGCATGGCTAGCTGCCCTACATGCATAATCCTGACAACAATTCTGTGAGGCTGGTGCTGAATTTTTATTTCTTCAAGGCAACTTAGAAAATCATTTAATTACACTAGAAAATCATATAATCCACTGATTTTTTTAAAAAGGTGAGTCAGGAAAATAAGACAAGGAGAAATGAAGACTATAGGAAAATAAGATAGATCTAGGGATGGTTTGTCCACAAAATGCCATTGTAAAATCCTGTGTCCAAGCCAGAAACAGAGCACAGACTGGCCTAGTCATGTTCTAGCATCCAGTACAAACAGGAGAGCGAGATCAAGTTTGTGATGCATTGTATTCAGAGGACAATGGCAAGAGAAACAAAACTCTCCCAGGATCTATACGAGAGAGGCATTTCTCCCAGTGTCCTTGGAAAGAGAGCCCAGTAGGATGTCGTGAGCAAGAGCATCCCCACAGAAGTTCTGACTTGCAGCTTCATAGGGCTGCTTCACCTCATGTCCTTGGCAAATACAATAATGTCAAGTGCAAGTCAGCAAAAACAATTATACGGGAAGCAAAAAACCATGTGGCCTGACTACACAGCTTTCTAAGGGCCTGTCTTCATCCCAAGAGTAGATTTTAGAGTATCTGGAGCAGAGGCGCTCTTAATGGAGCATTTTGGGCATTTGCACTGGAGTTTTGGGGTTGTTGTAAAGTGAGGGTCCTCCTGGGAGTTAGAGGGCAGAGCCCAGGGACAGTCAACACCCTGCAGTGGGCAGACAGTGCACAGAATAGAGAACTGCCCCATGTCCAAGGAAGGATTGTCCTGTATCCCTCATGGCTTTTTCAGTACAATATGGATGTTTGTGTAGACGAAAAACCTTTTGTAACATGTTATTATACACTGCTGGTGGGGAGGCAAAATGGTGCAACTTCTATGGAGGAGAATTTGGCAAACTCTAAAACTCTAAATGTTTGCCCAGTGATCCCACTTCTAGAATCCACTCGTAAGTTACCCCTCCACAAATACAAAATAGTATGTATACAGGGTTATTAATGGCAGCATTTGTTGTAATTTTAAAAAGATTAGAAGCAATACAAACATCCATAAATGTGTCACTGGTTGAATAAACTAAGGTGCGTCTACACAATACAATATAATGTAGCCATTAAGAAAAGAATTAGATAGACTGATATGAACAGACTTCAGGATGTACATAACATCTACAGGTATGGTCTTTTTTAAAGTATTTTTTTAATGTTGAGGGCGAAAGTAAATAAGTGAATATACGTTATTAGGAACCAAAATTGTCAACTTAAGAAAATAGATGTAAAGGATAAATCTCTGCAATGTTTTATTTGAATTGGAAGTAGCTTATGAACTCAATTACAAAAAAGTACACACACAGCCTTAGCTCTGTCCATGGAATTAGAGATCCTTGGATGAATGATTGATTCCAATTATAAGAAAGGAAAGGCAAATTTGTTTTCAAAAACCAATGGCAGATGTGTAAAAAAAAATCAATGTCATGGGAGAAAAAGATGAAGGGATTATTCTAGATTAAAAGAAACTAGTAAAATATAACAAATATAATGGGTGAATGCTGATTGGATCCTGATTTTTAAAAATCAGCCTTGAAAATAATGCTTGGGTCAACTGGAGAAATTTGTTTATGGACTAGATATCAGGCGGTATTATGAAATTGTTAATTTTCTTAGATGTTATAATGGTATCATAAATATGTAGGACAATGTCATTTTTAGAAGCTACATAGTGAAATAAATTGTGATATGTTTCATCACTTTCAAATGATTCTGGGAAAAAAATGGTTGAATTTGTGTTCAACCTTTTTGGATATATACCAGTATTTATTGTGCTATTCTTTCAACTCTTCTATATGTCTGAAATTTTTCATAATAAAAATATAAAAAGTTTTCCAATTTTTTGAACATAGATCCTTACTCTATTTTGCACACAAGCCCCCAAAATTTTGGCATAGTTTTTTTGTTTGTTTGTTTTTTGAGACACAGTCTCGCACTGTCGCCCAGGCTGGAGTACAGTGGCACCATCTCTGCTCACTGCAACCTCCACCTCCTGGGTTCAAAGCAATTCTCCTGCTTCAGCCTCCCGAATAGCTGGGATTACAAATGGCCTGTCACCATGCCAGCTAATTTTTTTGTATTTTTAGTAGAGACGGGGTTTCACTATGTTGGCCAGGCTTGTTTTGAACTCCTGACCTCGTGATCTGCCCGCCTCAGCCTCCCAAAGTGCTGGGGCATAGTTTTTAATTAGTGAATTTCCCAGTAATACACCTACTATATGAATTAAGGGAAGCTTTTATTAAGTTTTATTTGGAATATAGCCAATAGTATTCACCATTCCACATACACACCTCTACTCACCTGTGCTCCTAGCTGCCACACATTCATGCTGAGAGGTGAAGTGTCTTATGACTTCCTTTTGTCTTCTAGAATGGTTGTGTTGAGCCTTTAATACTTATTGAAATGCACAAGAGTGCATCATAAATTAATCTCCTTTTATGTCTTCTTTATATTCCAGTTAGAGTATTTTTTGGTGTTTTTAAAAATGTGTGTGTAGATAGGTTATGTTTCTCATGAATTTTATTTTAGAATAGTAAAAGAAGTCGTTAAAGAATGTAATCATCAAAAGGTGGTCAGATAGGGTGGAGAATTATTTCCCTGAGTTATGGTTGCAGAACACATCCTTCAGGCCAAAGGACACAGGCCAGATATTGAGTGGGAGCCCCATATAGGGGACATCCATCAGGGAGCTGCCCAACAGTCTACAAAGAAATCTGACCCCAGTAATAGATCTGGCTTCCGCATAAGCTAACATCCCCACTCCCTTACATTTGTCATAAAAAATAGATAAGGTAACAAGAGACATATATTTAAGACTCAAACATTTCCATTTGAGGTTTTATTTTTGGTCTTTGTGAGAAGAAATTGTACAAGGTGCTTTTCCTTTTTTTAAATAGCATTTCAAGAATTGTATGCTATCTCTGATGATAATTACAGGAATTACCTTTTTCTGAACCAAAATTGAAATGTGGCTTCACAATGAATCATCTATGACCTAAGAAGGTATTGATAAAGAAAGCTTTATAATTGTACAGAAATGAAGCATATCTAGTTAGACAGTTAACGAGTATTTTTTATTGAAAAGAAGAAAATTTCACCACCAATGGTTCCAGGAAATACAGGACACGTGTTTGCTGTAAAACACTGAACTAAAAATACAGAAGAGGGAACATGTGTTTATTCATTCATTCATTCATTCATTCATTCATTCATTCATTCATTATGTATGATATGTGCCAGGCCCAGTACTAGGTGTTAAGGGTAAAGAGGCAATATGTGCCCTCAAGGAGCTTTTAGTTTAATGGAAAAAGAGCGTTAGTTAACATTCTGCCGAACGGTGCATATGCCAGGGAGGGGTCGGTATGGGAGAAGAGACAGACATGCTTGAGAATCAGCAATGGACCAAGCCATTACAGAAAAAGCTGCCTTTGTGGAGAGAGATAAGCAAAACCCAGCGTGAAGTAAGGTCATTATAGTAATAAGAGGAAAGTGAAAGGTATCCTCTTAGCTCGCAATACGATGCCAGAGCTAGAGAATTCCTCATGAAAAGGCAAAAAGAAAATGCTGCATAGGTGAATTCTACTTAACAGAAGGTATCTGCACTGTAGAATAACAGTATAAAGTCCAGGCTCTTTGCCTTTGGGACCACGGGATTCTGAAAAGTGCAGAAGACACTGGTTTTCTGTTTTTACTTATTTGTTTATTCTCGGTCAGGATCTGAACTTTCTTCCCATGGCGGGGACCTTTCTTTGTATGAGGCTTGGCTGTCCAATCTCCCACCATGAAAGCCAAACAGGGAAGACCGGTCTCCCCACTGGCAGCCAGAAGGGTATGGACACCTGACCTAGATCCATCTGTCAGGTGTTCCAACCCCAACTCTGATTCTCAGCTGAGTATGAAAGCACAAGGGCAGTTTAAATCCATTTTCAGTGACAATGTCCAGCAGTGACAATAGCTGCTACGCCTGTGACAGTGTCCTAGCCAGACTGCTTCTATGGCATGACCTCAAAGCTACTCAGCTTCCCGTGGCTCCTACCTGCCTTCTGACCTTGTTCTTTAGCTTTCCAGCAATTTGAGCACATCTCAGTAGTCTTGCTAAGGGTGTATGGAGATGAGTAATTTTCTAGACAGGAGGAGAATAGGTGAAAGTAAGCCAAGTAATTAATGAACAGAAAGTCCTTCTCAGCCTTCAAGATAGACAAGATCGATAGGCAATTGCAGGAAAAAAGACATGAAGAAGACGGTGAGGAGTAGAATCAATGCAAGGCAATTTAAGAGACAAAATAGGAATGAAGAACGAATGAAAGGCTCACAGAGAATATTGACAGAATATCGGAGAGGGAAAATTACACTAACACAATGAGGCCAATGTGCATGAAGAAAGCTAGAAAGGGGGAAACAGCAGAAGAAAACTTTCCTAGAAAAACATGAAAAGAAATCAACTGATGCAGAAAACGGGACAGAAAGCTCAATCTTGGATACATCTAGATTAGACCACCAAAAAGGGGTGGCAGAATTTTTCTCAGATGTGTTCACAGAGAAGGAAAAGGGAAAAGTAAATACTAAAAGACTGTCTCAGACTCTTTTATAGGTTTGTATTTTTAAAAACTATTTTTACTATAAATGTAATGTCAGGATACAGAAAAAATGAGGGGATATTACCCATCATCCTATTAAGCCTAACATAACCCTATCAGCATGTTGGCATGTGAGGATTTTTTTCATTGTGTAGGATTAATTTAAACATGGTAGTAATTTGTTATCCTGATTTTTCATTTACTATTATTGTATTAACAGGTTTTTCTGCTGGTTGAAAGTCTTAATTAATATAAATATTAATGCCTGCATAAGTCTATAAAGGAGTTAACCTTGATTTCCTTGGTTTTTTTTTTTTTTTTTTTTGGATGGAGTCTCAGTCTGTTGCCTAGGCTGGAGTGCAGTGGCATGATCTTGGCTCACTGCAACCTCCACCTCCCAGGCTCAAGAAGTTCAACCTCCCAAGTATCTGGGATTACAGACATGTGCCACTACACCCAGCTAATTTTTGTATTTTTAGTAGAGATGAGCTTTCACCATATTGGCTAGGCTGGTCTCAAACTCCTGACCTCGGGCGATCCACCCACCTCGGCCTCCCAAAGTGCTGGGTTTATAGGCATGAGCCACAGCACCTGGTCGATTTCCTTGGTTTTAGATGGTGTGTGTGTACCCCTTATTGTGTGCCTACTATGTAATTAGGGCTCTGTATTCATTTTCTTTAACCCTTGAACAATCCCACAACTCGAATATAATAATTGCTGTTGCAAATTCAGACAAGTGTAGTGGTTGGCTACAAGTAGGTGGTAAAAGTAAGAGCTGTGCTCAAGCTTGCTGAATCCCAAGTCACTGCCTTTTCCACTATGCCATGGCACACCCCATTAGTTGTTGCCAAATTTTTGTTGCCTTGAATAATACTAGAATATCTTTGTGTTGACAGTTTTTCTCTACTTTGGATTGATTTCTTAGAAGTAAAATTACTAGGTCACATGAATATTGTTGTGCCTCCATATGTATTGTCAAGTGGATTTCCAAAAGGTTGAATGTCATTTGTGGTGTTCTCAACAATGAGTAAGGTTACATCAATACACCCCCACCAACACTGAGCACTTTTTTTTCCTAATTTACTATTAAATTTTTCTTAATTTTCTTTTCTTTTTTTTTTCTTTCTTAAGACATGGTCTCAATATGTCACCCAGGCTGGAGCTCAATGGTGCGATCACGGCTTACTACAGCCTCCCTGGGGTTAGGTGGTCCTCATGCCTCTGCCTCCCAAGTAGCTGGGACTACAGTGTGTTCTCCCAGGCCCAGTCAATTTTTGTATTTTTTGTAGAGATGGGGTTTCGCCATGTTTCCCAGGCTGATTTTGAACTCCTGAGCTCAAGAAATCCACCTGCCTCGGCCTCCTAAACTGCTAGGAGTGAGCCACCAAACTTGGCCAAAATTGTCTTAGTTTTCTGACAGACATTTTTGATGTAACTGAGTAAGGAAAAAGGACAAGTTCCATAATGTGATGATGCTTTACTTTTTAGTTTAAAATGATTTTAGGATGATAGTATATCAAAATGCCTAATCAGTCACCATTCCCATTTCTTCCTTGCCATCAGAACCTTGAAGTTCTTCAAGAATCCACATTCCTCTATAAGACCTCTGGAAAGGCTAGGCCCCTCTCATCCCCATACAGGTAGATTTTAATTAGTTTAAACCAGTCATGGAAATTATATTCCCTTGCTAGTGATGGACTTAGGAAATGACATATGACCCTCTGCTGGCCAGTTAGCAGGGGGTGATTCCTGGGAATGACTTCTTTGCTTTTATGCAAGGATGAGACAGTCACTATTTTCTGCCTCCGGACATTGGCTGATGTGAGGATGGGATGCCTGGAACTGCTGTAGCCATTTTGAAACCTGGAGGGAGCTAAGTGACAACTGAGGTTGGCAGAGCAGAAAGGTGGAAAGAACATAGGTCCTAAATGTCATGGAGCCACTTAGCTGACCATCACCAGCATGCCTCTTCTTCCAGACCTCCTGATTTCTTTGATAACAAACCTCTTATTATTTAAGCTTAATGAGTCTCAATTTTTGATTCGTTATTTGTCCCTTGCAGCAGATTGTATCCTACTTGATACAAGGAGTCATGAGTTGGAGACCTTCAATTTATTGGACTATAGTATCTCAAGTGTCAGTGTTGATCCTATTATGAAGACGGTTGTGGACACTGACAGAGTGCATAAGAAAGCCAACAGGGCAATAAAATGAGAGACAGTATGTGGTGAGTTTATCCCTTTGGGAAATTGTCACTTGTAAAGACAGCATGGAAGTCACCCACCTGGCGAACCTAAGACCTTGAAAAGACCAGGCCTGATTTCCTGCTTTAAATCATGTGGATCTCTGACATCCACCCAAAGTATCAGATCTGTAGTCCCTGGGAGAGGAATACACAAATGTGATCATCAGTTGCATGGTGAATGAGAAGAAAGCAGGAAATTGTGTTCACATACAGTCAGATGGTTCGGAGGTTCAGGTGTCCACACTGGAGTTTACTGTCAGCTTAGAAAAGGCATTTCCTTTCTTGGGGCTTTAGTTTCCTCAATTGTGAATTGAGGAGGCTCCACTAAGTGATCCTTGGGATTCATTTTAGCTTCAAAGTCAAACAGTTGGTTCTACCAATTTGGAAAGGGATAAAGTAGATGATCATGCAGCATTGACCTGCATGCATTACCCTTATTCTTGCTATAGTTATCAATAATACTAAAAAAAGATGAGGTGTGGTAGCAATGACTAGGAGCTCTGAATCATACAAACCTGAGTCTGAATACCACTTACTAGAGGTGTGATGTTGGGTAACCTCTCTAAAGCTTGATTTCCTCTCCTGTCATATGAAGATAATATAATAACGACCCCCTTTAAGGGGCTGTCATGAGGATTAAATGAACTAACACATGTAAAAAGCTTAACCCACAGCAGGCACTCAATACATTCCTGGCTATTGTTGTTAATAGTAGCAACAATAACCAGCATTTATATGTCACATTACAGTTCATGAAGCCAGGATTAGTACTGGGATTTTCTAGCTTTCAGTTTTATGTTCTTTCTAACACAGCACATAGTCTTCCAAGATAAAGTTAAGTAACAGACCCCTAAAAGAGAGAGAAAATGAGAACAAAATATACACAAAGAGAGCTGTGTTGTAGCAAACATGCATAATACTAATAATACTATAATAGATAAACTATAATTACACCATACCTTATGCCATAAAGCTGCCTATATTTGCCACTCTGCTATCTTATTTGATTCCAACCCTGTAGAACAAGTAAGGAGGTAACCGCTTTCTTTTTTTTTTTTTTTTTTTTTTTTTTTTTTTTTTTTTTTTGAGACGGAGTCTCGCTCTGTTGCCCAGGCTGGAATGCAGTGGCACAATCTCAGCTCATGGCAACCTCCACCTCCCGGGTTCAAACAATACTCCTGCTTCGGCCTTCCAAGTAGCTGGGATTACAGGCATGCACCACCACGCCTGGCTAATTTTTGTATTTTTAGTAGAAACGGGGTTTCACATGTTGGTCAGGCTGGTCTCGAACTCCTGACCTCGTGATCTGCCCGTCTCGGCTTCCCAAAGTGCTGGGATTACAGGCATGAGCCACAGTGCCCGGCTACAACTTTCTATTCTTCAGTGAGATTGGCTCTGCTGAAACCAGCATAGCAATATTTTCTTTTTCCTTTTTTTTTTTTTTTTTTTTTAAGATGGAGACTTGCCTATCGCCCAGGCTGGAGTACAGTGGCGCGATCTCAGCTCACTGCAAGCTCCGCCTCCCGGGTTCACGCCATTCTCCTGCCTCAGCCTCCAGAGTCAGCCTCCCGAGTAGCTGGGACTACAGGTGCCCACCACCACGCCCGGCTAATTTTTTGTATTTTTAGTAGAGACGGGGTTTCACCATGTTAGCCAGGATAGTCTCGATCTCCTGACCTCGTAATCCGCCTGCTTCGGCCTCCCAAAGTGCTAGGATTACAGGCGTGAGCCACCGTGCCCGGCCAATATTTTCTTCCTCTCTGTGAAATGGTGATAATAAGCCTTGAGGGAACAAGGGCACATTCTGCAGTTGGGACGGCCCTGGGGCAGAGTCAGCTCACTTACACCAAGAAGAGGAGCAAAGCAGAAAATCTGTACTGAAAACACAGTGCTCTCATGAATTCAAAGTCAGCTTTCAAATGTGCACCATTCTCAGGGGAGGAAAAAAATGCAAAAGAAAAATCTAAAAATAGAAAAGAACATCATTAAAAGTTCAGCAGTATATTCAGTGTTAAAGGATAACAAAACAAGAAAGGAGGGAACAAACAGAAGGTGAAGACTATAGAGCTAGGAGCAGAACAGCTGTAGTCTCTAAGGACTCTCCAGAACAGACTACTGCTTAAAGAATTTCCAATTTCTTTAGAAAAAAAATGTTCTGTCTGGTGAATAGACAATCACAGTCAAATTGTCTCAATTGAGTTTGGGTTTTTGTTTGCTTATTTGTATAGAACAATGACCAAATATATCATATTAATATATTCGGGCTACAATTCAGATAAAGACAATGGTGAGAAAGGTAGTGAAAGGTGCCTTTCACTTCACTTGCAGTTGTTATGAGAAGGTCATATTTACCTTTAAGAAGGATAAGAATGAGAAGCCTTAAGAGACAAAGACATGAAAAAGGAACGCTGTGAGAGCCAAAGCTTGGTAGATTCTCCCCTTTCTCTCTCTCAAAACTCTTAAATGCACTATATATAAAAGGGCATACACAAAGGAGTTTTATGGACTAGGGTATAGTGTAAAGATGGTATATATGATTATAGTCTTATGCATGCTTGCCACAACACAGCTCTCGTTTTGTATATTTTCTTCTTTCTCTTTTAGGATGCTGATACAAAACATTATCTTGGAAGACTGTGCTATGTTAGAAAGATTGAAGATTAAGATTGAAATTAGGGTTGCTAAGAGAAACAAAGTTGAAGTTCTCAAATCAGAAACCCTTACAACTCAAAGGAATCTGAAAACCAAGACAACAAATTATGCTCTCAAAAGTCATAAATATAAAAGAAAAAAATCACTAGACATCCCTACTTGGAATTAAATGGGGATATCTAATGACCAGAAATCTCAAAAATCTCCCTTGAGTAACATCTGAAAGTTCCAGAGTCCCAGAGGGATACAAATCATGTCCAAAGAAGAAGGGCTGAGGGATTCAGAGTTATATGGCATTAATAACCGCAAGTAAGCACCTTTGGAGTGTGTGTACAAAATAAACAAGATAAGCGATGTTTAACTGGTAGGAAATTTGAATATCTAGTATTAGAGAAAAAAGACATCACCTTTACCAAGAAGAGAAAATTAAGTATAGTTTAGGTGAACAGAAGAACCGATTCTCTTAAAGTAAAATCGACATACATTTTCAACTTAAAAAATCTTTTCATGCTAAGTTTGATGTAAGTGATCACTGGATGACTGGCCAGAGGGTAAATACATTAAGACTGAAAAAAAGAAAAATAAGCAAAAGTTAATAGAAAGTCCTGGACTTCTAAAGGGGCCATGTTCCAAATTTGTTCAGAAGTCAGTTGTTCTACACCACAAACTTGATTGAGCATAGGGAGTGTTGTAATGGTAGTTAGGTTCTACTTACACACAGCACCAAGAGTCTGTCTGCACAATACACTGGCTGAGATCTAAAAAGATCAAAATCAGAAATGGGGATGGGATGGAGATTTAGGCCAGAATGAAAGCAAATACTTGTGCTGATCCAGGATACAAGAGTAGGAGTGTTGTCAGAATTAGTGACTAAGTTTAAGGGTCCCAACATGAAATAAGAGCTGCCAAGCAGAGGTAATGTGAGGCTATGAATGACGAGTTCAGAGGATTTTCTGAATTCTGGAAAAATAAGGTCTTAATCCCAAGGATCATGAATATTCCTCTGAGAAATGCTACTGTCAGATTTCAAGATACTGTTGAGCTTCTAACAAAGTACTCCTAACCACTACTGGAGAATGTGTCTAAATGAGAAAAATGCATCCCAAGCTCCAGCTGGCAGTACCAAATCAGAAGCTGCAAACTATCACAACTGGCACATGGGATGGAACATGGAAGGACTTTGGAAATATTTGGGTCAAATTTCCTCATATTAAACAAGACAAAACAGGTGAGGATGCATAGAGGTATGTGATCTACCCCAGGTCACACAGCTAGGGACTGGAATGCAGAGCTAGAAGAGAGGCTGGTGAAGCCAGTTGGTTGGGAGGAGGCCCTCTCCAGCCCCCCACAGGTAGAATCACTGGCCTGTGTCCTGCACCTTGACAGATAGTTATCATAGCACTTACCAACTAGAGCCAAGCAAACCTCTCCCCAACCTTCCTCAACCCCCTTCAACATAAAGACCATATTTAATTTTTCCCTTTAACTCCAGTTCTTAACATAGAAGGCTTAATATTAAACCTCATAGTTGGGATCTGTTAAATCAAGTTTAGCCTAAAGCTGCTTCCTTGCATATTTTAAGTTTGGCCTAAAGGTTTTTCTGTACATCACAAACTATAGCAAGTGGAGGTGTAAACAGACCATAGCCTATGCTTGTGCCAATCTTCAAGTTTTGGCCAATCAAATGTAGCCAGCTGTTTGAACCATGTTCAAACAAGGCAAATGCCAACTTGTAACCAATCCTGCCGTTTCTGTACCTCACTTCTGTTTTCTGTACATCACTTTCCTTTTCCTGTCCATAAATCTTTTTCTACTACGTGGCTGCGCTGGAGTCTCTGAGCCTTCTCTGGCCTGGAAGGCTGCTCAATTAGTGAGTCGTTCATTGCTCAATGAAACTTCTTTAAATTTAATTCAGCTGAAGTTTTTCTTTTATCAGATCTGTTAAGTGTTTATGAAATGAACTAATGAACACCAAAAATGTAGATGGGCAGATATATACACATGGAAGGAAGGACTCCAGGGTGTCCAGGAGTCTAGCTCACAGAAGGTCTGAGCTGTGGTGGTCAGACTACTTATGGTCCCCGAGTACATGCTGACAAAATACAGTTCACCTGGTATTCACCAGGTTGGTGAAGGTTGTGGAAGCTTATAGATATACAGAGGAGTTATGGAGGGAACTAGAGGTATTCAGCCTAAAAAACAGAAGTCTCAGGGAGTGGCTTTCAAAGTGCATTGAAAATTTCACAGGGATGCCCAAGGGGCTGCCAAGATACAGGGAGCAGAGAGGGAGTGGGTGGGACAACAGGTCCCTAACCCAGGTAGAGAGGGAGCAGCTCTGCTTTTCTCTGCTTTACATTTGGACTGTAGCATAAGATTCACATCAAAGAGTGGTGAGCAGTGGGGAGAGGGGGCTTCTCTTGCTTATAAAGTTTGAAAAATCACTGCCCAGAATACTGCGATAAGAGCCTTAAATAATTGGAAGGCTGCTGTTTGAAAGATTTAGACTTGCTGTTCATGGCCCTAGTGGTCAGAACTAATAACCCAAGGCAGGTCTCAGGTCACACAAGGAGAAGAACAACCAGGGATCAGCCCTGATTGTAAGGACCTGCCTGATTCCCGCCTGCCCTCTGTAGTCCAGGTGGCACAGCTGGGGCCACTCAGGCCTATGGGCCTGGTTAGTATGTCTCCAAGTTCTGCCCAACTCCAGATTCTGAGAAGGGACTGAGAAGCCCCAAAGTCAGGGGTGCAGAATCCTGACTCCATTCTGACCCGAGGTGAGGTTGTCCCATTCCTCAGAAACCAAGCCCCTAAACTGCATCCCATTGTCAGCATTGTCCCCACGCTTCCACGCTTTACAAACTTCTCCATATTGCAACCAGTTCTCAGAAGACAGAGGTTTCATTTTGGCACTTTAATCCTCACTGTCAAGTCCCTTTCGCCATAGCCCACCAGCTGTCTTGGTCTTCTCCATAATGGCTGTGACATGAAGCCCCCAGGATGGCACTCCCGTACCTTCTGACACCCTGCAGCCCCTAGTGCCAGGTCTCCTTGGCCTCCCTTTCCCTGCCCCAGGCCTGGACCCCTGCCCAGGAACTGCTGCCTGGCTCTTCTCTTCTGATACTTCACACGCTTGCCAAGACTTCCTCTGGGTGCCTATGACTGGATGTCTAATGAGTGGTCAGCCTCACTGAGAGACTGACTATTATTGTATGTCTTTCTCCTCCTCTCAGAATGTCAGCTCCCAGGGGAGAGCTGTTTTGTTCACAGGTATAGCCCAAGCGCCTAAAACAGTGCCTGGTACAGAGTAGGTACTTAAGAAAGGTTGTTGGTTTTGTTCAGTGCCTTGGTGCCAGTCCTTCCTGATTTGGCCTTTTATGCCATGGACCAAACTCTACAGCTAACATTACCTCATTACATATCTCCTTTACACATCCCCAGCTCGGCGGGGTGTGGTGGCCCACGCCTGTCATCTCAGCACTTTGGGCAGTTGAAGGGGGTGGATCACCTGAGGTCAGGAGTTCAAGACCAGCCTGGCCAACATGGTGAAACCCTGTCTCTACTAAAAATACGAAAATTAGCTGGGCATGGGTGTGTGCCTGTAATCCCAGCTACTCAGGAGGCTGAGGCAGGAGAATTGCTTGAACCCGGGAGGCGGAGGTTGCAATGAGCTGAGATGGTGCCATTGCACTCCAGCCTGGGTGACAAAGTAAGACTCTGTCTCAGAAAAAAAAATTAATAATAATAATAATTAAAATAATAAGTAACAAATCCCTAGCTCTCTGGGGACAGAAAATGGATATCCATTCTTGCTTGGAGTATCAGCAAAGTAGCAGGGGTGGAGGAAAGGGACTACACTTGAGACTTTCCGAGCCTCTTTACTATTTATCAGGGACAGATTCCATGTGGAGATGTTTTAATTCAGAAAGAAAAGCAACTCCCTAGGTCCATTATTCATGCCCTAGATTGACTTCAATAGCCATCAACCTCCCATCCGCCACACCCCAGTAATGAGATGGCTCTTGGGCAGCCACATTTCTCAACCCATCACTCAGTCCTGGCCTCTGCTCACTGGACTCAGAGAGGAATGTGATCTAAGGACAGCCCACTGAGAGTCTGGCCAGCAACCCATGCTGTGACTTAGCATGGTAGATTGAGCGCGGCCAGTCACGTTCATCCTCAAGAACAGAACTAAGACAGAAAGAACAGAGTAGATAACAGTGACCTGAGGCTGAAGGAAAGTTCTGGGGTAGAGTAGAGACCATGAGGTACCATTTTCAGGGAAAAATTATGAGGGAGCAGGAACTGAAAAGAAACAGAGACCAGGAATAAATTATCGAACACAGAGAAGACGGAAAAAATGAGCCAACTGGAAGAGAGAAACAGACACATCAAGAGGAGCTTGGCGGGGCCAAGAGCCGCCAGATCTGCAGTGGTTGAAAGAGCTTCCCCGTGTCCTGCTCTTCCTAGCAGGTGGGTTTCTAAGCACATGTCGCCTTCAGGTAAACACCTCATTGTTTGAGGTTCATTGTTAATTCTTGCCACCAAAGCAGCCTAATTAAACAGATTCTAATTAGGGGGAAGCATTAGTTTCCTGTTGTGGAAGTTATAAATTCTCATAAACTTTATGACCTAAAACAACACAAATTTATGATCTTACAGTGCCGGAGGTCAGAATTCTGAAATGGGTCTCACTGGGCTATTTCAAGATGACAGAGGTGCCACCTTCCTTTTGGAAGCTCTAGGAAATAATTTGGGTGGTTTTGGGTTTTGGGGGGCTTTTTGTTTGTCTTTTTTAATTTCTAGGGGGTGCTGTGTTTCTTGGTTCAAAGACCCCAGACCCCATTTGCATTCTCCACCTCTGCCTCCATCATTCCTTCTCCTTCTCCAACTCTCCTGCCTCCCTCTCTCCCTTATAAGGAATCTCATGATTACTTTGAGCCCACCCAGCTAATCCAGCACAATCTCCTCATCTCCAGGTCCTTAACCTACATCACATTTGCAAAGTCCCTTTTGCCACATAAGGTGATGTATTCACAGGTTCTGGGGATTAGCACATGGGCACCTGAGGGAGCCAATATTCTGACTACCACAGGGAACATGGGATAATCCCCCAACAACAGCAAAGTACTGAGCCTTCACAGACGTCCACCAAACGATATATCAGCTAGAACTGCTGCTCACATTTTAAATGCTTGAAAACGGGAAGGAATCATGATGACAGACAGGCCTCTAATAAGCCTCTGATCAACAGGAGAGCCTTCTCCATATTTTCAATGCTGGTTTCCAGAAGTTACGTGAACACAGGGGTTCCTAGGAGTATGGGCTTCATTTGAAATGCAAGGTGAGAAGCTCACCCAATTAGAACAAAGTTTCACTAGCATTGCAATGAATAAGCAAGCAGTCTAGGGAGAGTGAGGCTGACCAGAACTGTGGCGGAGATTGGTATAGACTCACCTTTGATTGCGGTCCTTCCTCATTGCAGAGATTTATTTAGCTGTGTTTTACTCAGAAGATCCTGTTGACAGCTGGGGATGGATGCACACGACTGTGTGATTACAGAGCTCTAAGAAATGACATGATGGGAAGAGAGGAGTGTAAACCATAAGGAAGTGATGCCTGGTGACAGCGTTGACAGTACAGAGCTGTAGCATCATGCCTGTGCGCGCCAAGGGAAGAAACCAGAAGGAAGGTTACCTCGTTTCTTCTAGCTGTTTCCTTTCAAGCCCTTATTCAGGATTTTATCTGTTTTGGAGGGAAACTCAGGTGCTGTCTTTAGTGTTTAGCTGGAAAGAAGCCTTAGAGGTCTGGGGTTTCGTGAAAACCAGGAGTTGATTTAAGAAGCAGAAATGCTTTTAAAAAATCCTTTGTTGGATCAGTTTTTTAAAAAAACTACATAGATCCTGTTACAGACTAAATGTCTGTGTGCTCTCAAAATTCATATATTGAAACCATACCCCACAATGGGATGGTATAAGGAGGTGGGTCTTTGGGAGGTAATTAGGATGAGATGAGGCCATAAGGGTAGAGCCCTCATGAATGGGATTAGTGTTCTTATATGAGTCAAGTGAGAGCTTTCTTCCCGTCTCTGATCTCTGCCACACGAGGATATGAGAAGGCAGCAGATGGCAACACAGAAGAGAGTTCTCACCAGAACTTGAGCATGTTGGTACCCCGATCTCAGACTTTCAGCCTCCAGAAGTGTGAGAAATAAGTTTCTGTCATTTATAATCCACCCAGTATATAGCACTTTGTTATCGCAGCCCAAACTAAGAAATTTGTTTAGCTGTGTTTCACCAAACACATCGCATAGCATCCATGCAGAGCATCTTCAGAAGTCAGGAATTTGTTATTCAATGGCATCCCTGGGTTCTAGATACCCCAAACAGATTATGCTGCAAGGATTCCAGACAGCTTTGTAAAGAAAATTAAATCAGCGTGATTCAAACATGTTTATTCTTTCTCATTTGATACTGAGTAATGTTTTACACATGGCCAAAGGGCTCTAAGGGTTTCCTGCAACACTTTGAATCTCAAAAGAATCCACATTTGGCTAAATGCAGATCACTTAAAGATCCAGAATTTTTTTTTTTCTATGTTTTGAGACAGAGTGATGGAGTCTTGCTCTGTTGCCCAGGCTGGAGTACAGTGGCACAATTTTGGCTCACTGCAACCTCCACCTCCTGGGTTCAAGCAATTATCCTGCCTCAGCCTCCAAAGTAGCCGGCATTACAGGTGCCCACCACCATGCCTGGCAAATTTTTGTATTTTTTAGTAGAGATGGGGTTTTGCTATGTTGGCCAGGCTGGTCTTGAACTCCTGACCTCAGGTGATCCACCAGCCTCAGCCTCCCAAAGTGCTGGGATTACAGCCATGAGCCACCCTGCCCAGCCAAGTTCCAGAATATTTACACTGAATTTTGAGGTCAGAGTTCATTGAACTTTCTATTTGGGCATTTTTAAGTTACTGGGACCTAAATGCTATTATGGAACCAATCAAACCTAGAGAAATAACTTACATGTTAAAGTTCATTTACTGAACCACCAATAATCTACCAAATGCAAAGTCTGTATGTGGAAGGCAGGCTATGCACAATTTTGTTCCGTTTTCAGTTTCTTTATGAGCTCTCAGCTGCCCTGGTGTTTCTCAGGTGAGTCTTCTGTTTTCCTATTGTGATTAGTTCTGATCATGGAAGAACAAGAAAGCATGTTGTATAATAAATGACATCAGGAAGAAAAGGGGAAAAAAGTTAAAAGAAAATACTTCTTACCATTAAAATGACCTAAGGCAATTCGGAGTATAAAGGACAGCTTCTATGACCTGTCAGGGTCAAGAGCTGAGCTAAATTTATCCCAGCGCATGGCTTCCATGGACTTGTGAGAAACGAAGTCAAAGTGGGGCAAGCAGCTCTCTGCTCCAAGATGGATTTACTCTGACAAGGGAACCATACTAAAGAGGAGTGAATACATATAGTACAACCCTAAATAGAAGCATAGTGGAATGATGAGTCTGTTATGGGCAACCAGATAGAAATATCCATGCTAAGGAGCAGAGAGGCTTAGAAAGCCCGGAAGAAGAGATACTTGCACTCTTTGATCTGATGCCAAATGTCGTATCCTCAGCAAAAAGCCAGAGGCAGAACCCTTATGGGCCCAAAGGGAAAATAATGAAGTGGCCTCTAGAAAACCAAAGCAGTACTATTTTGAGGCCAGAAGTATCCTAAATACCATGGTAACATTAAATAAAGATTATAGAGAAGGAAAAGGAAATTATTTTCCTACGGGTTATGGTAGACAGAAAAATACCTGCACAAAGATTTCTGCATTCTCATGCACAGAATCTATGATTGTGTTAGGTTAGGTTACATGGCAAAGGAGAAGTAAAGATGCAGATGAAATTAAGATTGCTAATCAGATGACCTTGAGATGGGGAGGCTGTCCTTATTATCAGGGTGGGCCCGAGGTAATCACAAAGGTCTTTAAAAGTGCAAGAGGGAGCCAAGCATGCTGGCATGTAACTGCAGTCTCAGCTACTCAGGAGGCTGAGGTGGGAGGATTACTTGAGCCCAGGAGTTCAAGGCTGCAGTGGGCCATGATTGTGCCACTGCATTCCAGCCTGGGCAACACAGCAAGACCCCATCTCTTAAAAAATAAGTGCAAGAGGGAAGCAGAAGAGAAGGTCAGAGTGATGTGATATAATAAGTAACATGGTTGGCTTTGAAGACAGAGGGAGTGGACAGCCTCTAGCAGCTGGAAATGGAAAGGAAACAGGTTCTCTCCTTGAGTCTCCAGAAGGAACACAGCCCAGTGGATAACTTGATGTTAGCCCACTGAGGGCCATATTAAATGCATTGCTACCCTTCCAAATTGTAAGATGATAAATTTGTGCTGTTTGATGCCACGAAGGTTACATAATTTGTTTTAGTAGCAATGGGAAACTGACACACCCAGCAAGTGAGGAGAGGAGTGTTATGGATATCTGAATTGGTCTTGATGAGCACTGGATGTATGTATAATGCTCCCCTCAGAAAAATGCAGAGTCTTTGAGGAATTCTAAGCAGTTTTTAGAAGAAAATGTTTTCAGACTCATTGATTTTAACTCCTCTGCTATACAGAGGGAGTACTCTAATGCAGCTGGGGAATAGACCTTCTGACCTCCAGTGAGGCACAAACATCTCTGCTAAGTATTGTGTATTAGCAATCAAGAGACTTCCCTGACACACAAGGCACTGCTCAGGGAAAGATCTGAGATGTGCTACTACTTTGGTTTTTGTTTGTTTTACTTTAGAGACAAGCTCTTGCTCTGTCGCCCAGGCTGGAGTGCCGTGGTACAATCATGGCTCACTGCAGCATCGACCTCCTGGGCTCAGGTGATTCTCTTGCCTCAGCCTTCCAAGTAGCTGGGACCAGAGGCACAAGCTACTGTGTCTGGCTCCGTATTTTGTTTTAAAACTAGAATTTCATATGTGAAAGTCATAGTGTAGCAGATACTATTGGTAGGCAGTCATAGGTCATTCCCTGCTTTTCCTTGCTAAGAGAGGGGTATCTACACTTTTCCGTGAGACTCAGGGTGACTGATCTAAGCCAGTCACCCCAGTCATGGGTAGCCTTTGCCTGTGACTGGTGTTGCCATGGGCATGAGATACAGTTCTGACCAATGAGCTGTGAAGGGAAGTCGGCTTGAGGGATTCTGGGATAAGTTTCCCTCAAACTTGAAGAAACTCATGGAAGAGAATGGCCTCTTTCTGCCTCTGAATGCTGCTGTGAGGAGCAGATGATTTCTGGAGTTATGAGCCACCATCGCCAGAGCATGAAGGCATGAGGCTGAAAGCAAGACGATATGTCAGGGATGGCAGAGTGGAAAGACATCAGGCACCCCGGTGATGCCATAAGGCCCCTGAATTAACCAATTCCAGAGCTTGCCTACTTGGGTCTTTTTATTTATGACATTACAACTCCCTTGAATTTTAGTTGCAACTAAAAGTATCCCACCTGATGAACAGATGGTTAATTAACATCCTTAAAACATAAAAGTTAATGAGAAAAAGATGCCTATTTCAAGATTTTTTTAAATTAAGCAAAAGAACAGATAATTCTCAAACGAAGAAAAACAGTAAACATTTGCGAAAGCATTCAAATTTACTCATAACTAAGCAAGTGCCAATAAAAATAACCAGACCCTCTTATTGGCCTCTAAATGGACAAAATCCTTTTTTAAAAATGATGCTATCTAATATCATTGGTGGCTTAGAGAAATGTACACTTTCTATTGGAAAGGTGAATAGACACAACCTTTCTGAAGGACAATTTAGTCATGTGTATTATAGAGAAGATTTCTGCTGGCTGGGTCAGAGATTTGAACATTCCAGGCAGCACCCTTCTCCTCTGATAGCTATTTAAATTCACTATTTGCTGGGGAACTAGAAGCTGTCTTGGAACTATCCAGAACTACGTATCTGTGTGAAGTTCAGATTGTCTAGTAAATTTAGATGGGGTCATCTCAAATTAAGTTCCAGGAGGAAATATGGTATCCTTGAAGGAAATCTTCCTTGGGGAAGAAGAGGCAGGTAGACTCATTAGGCTACGGGGTCTCCAGATGGAGACACAGTGGTGCCAAGCCCACTGGCAAGTACACGAGCACTTGGATCTGCCTAGCTCCAGCCAGCTGGGATGTTCTAGGGAGGGAAAAAAAGGTGCACTTGAAACCAGAGATGCATTAGTATAAAGGCCATCACACCTCACAGACCAAGAATCTGAGTCATGGGAACCTCTGAAGTGCAGAATGGAGAGGAGAGAGCTGGCACCAGCGGCCAGGGCAGCGTGGAGCAGCTCAGCGGCAGCTCAGGTGCACTTCAGCAGGAAGGGTACCTGGGTGTCCTGAGGGACCACCAACCAATGTGGGGCACCTCTGGGAGCTCCCTGGCATGCTAGAGAGGAAAAGGGAACTAGAAAGGGGATTTAAGTAGCCTTCCAGGTTGCCCAGCGGCCAAGCCCTGTTTCATTTCTTCTCTCTGATTCTCTCTCTCTCTCTCTCTCTCTCACTCTCTCCCTCTTTCTCTTTTACTCTTTCTCTTAGTCTTTCTCCTCAGGTCAAAAGAGGGGCACTCAGCCGGGCACAGTGGCTCATGCCTGTAATCCCAGTACTTTAGGGGGCCAAGGAGGGTGGATCACTTGAAGCAAGGATTTGGAGACCGGCCTGGCCAACATGACGAAACCCTATCTCTACAAAAAATACAAAACAAAAGAAAAAAATAGCCAGATGTGGTGGCACATGCCTGTCATCTCAGCTACTTGGGAGGCTGAGGCATGAGAATCGCTTGAACCCAGGAGATGGAGCCTGCAGTGAGCCAAGATTGCACCACTGCACTCCAGCCTGGGCAACAGAGCAAGACCCTGTCTCAAAAAATAAAAATTAAAAAAGAGGGGCACTCAAGCTGGTAAAAGCTGTGGCATCCTAATTAGGCAAAAGGAGTAGAGCTGGTGGGACCAAGAGGAAGCAGATAAGCTACAAGCCTGCCTTTCTTCATGGTCCAGGACACAGAGCCCTACTGCACAAATAACTTACAATGTTCTCACACCAAGCTATCACCAGACACCTTCAAGTTAGCTCCCTGCAACCCTGGCATTATCAGTACTGCGCAAAGCCCTCTTCAGCATACAGCATAAACACCATCCCATAAAATCTCCAGCAAGCGGCTGGGCACAGTGGCTCACGCCTGTAATCCCAACACTTTGGGCGGCCGAGGTGGGCGGATCATGAGGTCAGGAGATGGAGACCATCCTGGCTAATACGGTGAAACCCCATCTCTACTAAAAATATAAAAAATTAGCCGGGTGTGGTGGCAGGTGCCTGTAGTCCCAGCTACTCAGGAGGCTGAGGCAGGAGAATGGCGTGAACCTGGGAGGCGGAGTTTGCAGTGAGATCATGCCACTGCACTCCAGCCTGGGCGACAGCAAGACTCCATCTCAAAAAAAAAAAAAAAGAAAAAAAAATCTCCAGCAAGCCTTTGTTTCTTTGCAGTCTGCTTCTCTCATGCAGGCTGTCCACTGCCCCCTTTCAAACATATTTTCCTACTTTCTCTAATAACTGTAACTTTCTTTACCTATACCTGTCTTGGTAAATTCTTTTACCCCCACACCATCAGCCCCGTTACCCATTGCACACTGCCTCCCCACCCCTCCCACCGCCTGCCTGCAACAAAAGCCACATGTTCGGCCGAGACTTTATTGTGTCCACATGCTGCAAAGATGTGAGTGACATTCACCACATCAGAAGACCGAAATCTCTTCATAGTATTTGACTCAGTAATTCTGCTTCTAGAAACTTAGCCTAAGAAAATAATCAAGATTCACTCAAAGTCTTTGAACAGAATATTCATCATAGTACTTTCATAATAGCAAAATACTGAACAACCACAATGTTCAAGAATGGGGGAAGGACTAAGCAATTTATGGTATCCTCATTAAAAATTATGTTTCTGAAAAAGTGCTTAACAATGTGGAAATGTTCACAATTAACTTAAGGAAAAACTAATACAAGAACAAACTCAAAGCATGTTCCAATCTTAGTTTTGTTTTGTTTTGTTAAATATAGAAGAAAGATCGGAAGTTTATGCACCCTGATTTTTCGTACTAATTAATTCTAGATGCAAGATTTTACTTTTTATTATGTTGGTGGGGGGGGGGTTGTTTTTTATTTTTTATGTTTAGCAATTTTTTATCACGAATGTGACTTTTTTTAAGCAATGACAAGTTTTTATAAAGTTATAAGAACTCTATGCTAATGAATTTGAAAACTATTCGAAATCTGATATTTCAAAGCCTATAATTTTAAGAGAAAGAAGAAGAATAGAGCAGAGAGTGGTGGAGGTCATGTCCAGAGGGAGAACAGATTTGCCACCATGTTCTCCTCTGTTAATCAATCTGCAAGACAATACCTAAGATGATTGCATTCTGAAGCAGGCTATTTTAAAGCTATATCTCTTTGTAAGAACTTGGTACATTTCTCTATGATTTAAAAGAGATGATTAGTTCCATGCTAAATGGCTTCATTTGTTGCAAAATTTTCCTCTGAATGGGGATATTCCGTTTTAATGTAAAATTGAAACATTATTTCTCTTCTTTCATTTGCCTGCATTCATGTAAATAGGGGATTTAAGTATATATTTTTTCACTTAATGGATTTAAAACAAAATCTTTAAAAAAAATTTTCAAACTAAATTAAAATGTATTTACCCTCCATTTTTTACATTTAGTCCTGTCACAGAAGAACAAGTAAAACATTTAGGTACAATTTCAGGGCGGTGTAGAGGAACGCAGCTGCCTGAACTCTGCAGTGAGCCTTCGGACCCATCCAAAACCCCGGATCAACTGGGGAGTGGGCCTGGCAACCTCTGTGGGGTGGCAGGCCAGAGGGCGGGGGCTGAGCGCTGCAAGAGTGCCCTGTTCCTCCCCTCCCTTCCTGAGACTGCCTTCCACTGAGCTAAGCCTATGTTTCTCCAGCAGAGAATAATTAAAGCACGCCAACCTTGGAGCTTGCAAACATCCTTCTGGAGTAAGATGTTCCAATTCAAAAGGCTTCTCCATTCCCTTCTCTTTCCTGGACATCAGGACCCAGTATGGGTTCCTGATGGCATTAAGGAGCCATGCCCTCTTGGAACCAGAAGCCTGTTGAAAAACATGAGGAATTTGGGGGCAAACCAACTGTTTCTCTGAGACCTTGCACTGAATTCTCACTGTTCTATCTCTTGTCTCAGGCCACATATATTGCCTCCCCATTTCCTCTTTCCCTACTATCTTACTAACATCCTCCTCCTCCTGCTTTCTTCTGGCCTTCCATGGTGCCCCATGGCCAAGCCCTGTTTCATGTTTCCTCTCTCACAATCACATTCTCTCTCTCCCCCCATCTCCTTTCACACAGGGACACACAGCACACACGTACACATGTACACCAGTGTTTTTGAAAGAATTCTTAGATTTCATGCTATCCAATAAAGATGATGTCTTTCAAACTACTTGATGATCTCAGTGGTTGCCTTCCAGTTCTGCTTCTCTTTAAGCTTAGAGT